>NC_000001.11:231790182-231941697 GCF_000001405.40 Homo sapiens | reverse complement strand
AGATCGAGACCATCCTGGCCAACATGGTGAAACCCCATCTCTACTAAAAATACAAAAATTAGCTGGGCATGGTGGCGTGCACCTGTAGTCCCAGCTACTCGGGAGGCTGAGGCAGGAGAATCGCTTGAACCCAGGAGGCAGAGGTTGCAGTGAGCTGAGATTGCGCCACTGCACTCCAGCCTGGTGACAGAGCAAGACTCCATCTAAAAAAAAAAAAAAAATTGAAGTTTCATGGGGAGAGCACCCCATGGTGGGCTCTCCATACACGTTTGTTGGATTATCTATGAGCTCTCCTACCTCGCTTTGCTGGCCTTGCTCCTGGAATCTCACTGTTGCTTTATAAAGCAGAAAAAGGAAGGTAGGAAAGCCTCTCGGGGATGGGCACAGGCAGTGGGAATGTGGGAGCCGGCTGAGTGTTATGAATTAGCAGAATAGGGGTCACTGGTGTCTTATATGTCCAAGCTTTGGTGTGAATACTCAGCACCTCCTGCCTGCAAGAAGCCCAAAAACTCTCATTGCAGGCATGCAGAGCAGCCCAATGTAGGGATATCTGTGCAATGTGAAGGCTGCCATACCAAATCCTAACCCAAGAACTCAGATTCAGGACTGTGGGTGAAGGGGAACCTCCCACCCACCCATCTGTTCACCTGCATGCCTATGAGAGGAGGTGTTTGTAAGCCAGCGTTCTGTGCACCCTGCGAATGCCCATGTCTTAATCTGCTCCCCACCTGCCATCTGATGGGTGTGGCAGAGCCGGAGGAACATGTCAGCTGGAAAGCAGAGGAAAGAATGTTAAAGCTCCCTGCTGTGATGCACCCGCAAGCTGGCCACAGCCAGCCTCTCATTGCAATCAAGAACGTCATGGAGCAGCAAATGTTGAAGGCAGAGTCTCAATTTCAGTCTTTGGCTTTAGAAATTGTATTTGGGGTAATGCTAATGTGAAAACTGCATGTATTAAAACAAAGTGCAATAACACGCAGCATCTCTAACAGCTTACAATGAGTGTCTTCTTTCCTTTCTCCCCCACCCCCTTCCTTCCTCTCAAATACACCCTAAAAGAGCACAGGGTCTAGGAGAATTTAAAAATAGACTCACATGGATTTCAAGTGGAGTAAACTAAATGAGTCCAATTTTCTATGCCTTTCATTTTAAATTATGTGCTGAATGTCGGGAAGCATAAGATGTAAGTGAGGAGAATACGACATTTAAAATCTAATTTTCAAAAATTGGGTCCTAAGGCAGAACAGTGAAAATGCATTTACACATATAATTGCGCCTGCAAATCAACACTGGCAGAACAAGTGTCCCCCTTGGCTCGGGAGAGTGCCTGGCCGGGGCTCACCAAGCCATGGGAAACCAATTCACTCACTCGGCAGGTATGTGCTGAGTCCCTGCTAGGTGCCAGCTGGTGCACTTGATGCCCAAGTGGATCGTACTCTCCAGCTCATGGCCTCAAGAACCGTGCAAACTGGTGAGAGAATTGCACAGGGAAAGCAGTCTTTACCACACACAGAGAGAGGGGAAGGACAGAGGACAAGATAGAATAGCAGTGAGCACCAGGAAAGGCACTTTCTCAGTGGAGGTGGAGGTGAGGGAGGTGTCCTGTCATGGAGGAGGGAAACAGCTGAGTTAAAATATTAAGAATAAGCGGAGAAACCCAGGCATGGTGGCCCATACCTGTAATCCCAGCACATTGGAAGGCTGAAGTGGGTGGATCACCTGAGGTCATGAGTTTGAGACCAGCCTGGCCAACATGGTGAAACCCCATCTCTACTAAAAATACAAAAATTAGCCAGGCACAGTGGCACGTGCCTGTGATTCCAGCTACTTGGGAGGCTGAGGCAGGAGAATTGCTTGAACCTGGGAGGCGGAGGTTGCGGTGAGCTGAGATCGCGCCACTGCACTCCAGCCTAGGTGACAGAGCAAGACTCCATCTCAAAAAAAAAAATAGAATAAGCAGAGAACAGGGCAGGTAGTAGGAAGGAATGCCAATGGTAAGGAGCTCATACTCAGGGGCTTGGAAGAAGAGGGAGGATGGGACATATTAGGGAAACTGAATGTCCGGGCTGATTGAAGATTAGCATGTAAGGAAGGCAAGAGAGGATGAGAGGGGAGTTTTGAGAAATAAAGATGGAGGCAGAAAACTGAGGGCATGACAAGAAACGTGTGTGAATCCCTGCAGGAGTGTGGATTTTCTCCCACAAACAAAGGGAAGCCATTCAAGGGCCCTACAAAGGAGAATGATACGGCCACTTTCTTAGTTCATTACAGATGGAGAAAGGTGGGTTGTTAGGAAAGGTATTTAGGAAATAGAATTGACAGGACTTCGTGTTAGGCTGGAGTCATTCATTTATTCATTTATTCGCTCAACAACTACTTATTGAGCAACTACTACATGCCAGGCACTATTCTAACAGCTAGAGCTATGACGGTGAAAAAACAGCATTAAATAAGTGGATATTTGTAAAAATGCTTAGAGCAGTTCCTGACACTTGGAAACCACTCTATTACTACTTATTAAATAGAATTAATACAATAAAACACATATGTGCTGACATTCCAAGAGGGAAGACAGCTAATAATAAGCAAAGTGGTAAGTAAACATACAATACACTGATGCTGATAAGCATAAAGGACGATTACGTGTAGGAGGGGGGCTGTCATCTTAAATTGGGTGGTCGGAGGCGACCCATTTGAGATGCTGACATTTCAACCAAGACCTGATGGAGTTGAGATTACACAATGAATAAAACAGAGAGGAAAGAATCCAGACTGACTCAAGGTTTCTGGTTTTGTCAGCTGGCAGAGTTTCTAACATGTAGGGTTAGATGTGTTTTTAACACAGCCAAGCAGAGTTGCCTAACAGAAGAAAGTCGTGAGGCTTTGGGATTCAGCAGAATGGGGAATAGGGACCGGCTGTCAGTTTATAGGATTAATTGAAGCTATTAGAATCATAAGACCATTGGTGGTGGGTGGATTGGTTTTATCGCTGTGGTACTGCATTGCCACACATTTAGCAGATTAAAACAACACGAATGATTGGTTTCATGGTTCTGTAGGTCAGAGGTCCAACACAGAAGGACTCGGCTGGCTCTCTGCTCAGTCTCACAGGTTGAAACCATGGTGAACGCAGGGCTATGTTCTCTTCTGGAGGCTCTGGGATTCAAGACATTTCTGAACTTGGTCAGGTTGTTGGCAGAATCCAGTTTCCTGTGGCCCTAGGCTGAGGTCCTCCTCTTCTTGTGTGCTGTCAGCTTCAGAGGCTGCCCACTTGCCCTGCCTCATGGGCCCCCCTTCACCTCCAAAGCCTGCAGTGGCATGTCATCCAGCACTTCTCACACTTCAAACCTCACTGTCACTCCCTCTGCCTCATGGCTCCTCCTGTGCCCAGCCTGAGAAAGTCTTCCACTTGTACGGGCTCATGTGATTAGATTGGGCCCATCTGGATAAACCAGGATGCTCTCCCCACCTTGGGATCCATAACCTTCCTCACTTCTGCAAAATCCCTTTAGCCTTGTAACATCCATCTTCACCGGGTTCTGGGGATAAGGGCATGGACATCCTTGGGAGGGTCATTATTCTGCCTACCACATCAGGCATGTGGAGGGAAAAGAAAACCCAGCTGGGGACAGAACCAAAAGAACAAAACCTTAAAATGACGGATGAGAAGGAAGGACCAGTAAAGAGAACAGAGATGGAGTGGTCAGGGAAGCCAAGAACCCCCGGGAGGAGATGTCTATAGAAGCCAATGAAGAATGAAGTGTTTCCAAAGCCATCAACTGGATCAGATGCTGCCAAGAAAGCTTGAAGAATTGAGTGGGATTTGCAATTAAAAAAAAAAAAGATTAGTTGTGATCTACAGCTGCTTTCATGCACACACGCAAACATACATGCATGTTTAGGAATCCCTCTTTCAGGTCATTTCCTACCAAGCTGCTGTGCTTCCCCACCCCATCGAAGCCGGGTCCCCTTCAGTCCCCAAGCCTCCACTGCCTTCTGAGATCTCCAAGTGCCCTGTCAGCTGCAGCCTGGACATCCCCCCATCCACCCGCCTCCACACAGGCCCAGCCAGCAGAGCCGCAGAGAAGAGACCATGTTCCGGTGCTGTAACCCTGGCCGGGGGCCAGGACCTTGTCAGTCAAATAGATGTGAGCCTGGTTTTGAAATAATCAGCCTGGCTTTATCCCACATGCATGCTGTCCCTCCTGTTGCATAAAATGAAAGCTCTGTGTGCAGAGGAAGCAGAGAATCAAGTCTTTTCCTACTAAATCCCCTGAGATCGATCCCCCTGATCTCTGAAAGCACTAAATGCCTATGGAAAATCTATTCTCCAACCCCCACAGTTTCCTGGTATTTGTTTTAAGTATTTAAAAAGCATTAGGCTTGACACCGGAATGGCTAATAAGTTAATGTCCTAGATATTTAGGAGGAGCTAGGTATAAAATTATTGGCTTAAAAGGATCCCAGAGAAACCATTTCTTCTAACAAGATCATAAAATGCACTTTCCCAGTGAGTCATATATAACTGGCTCAACTATATAATAAAATGGGGATACAGGTTTAATGGAAGACAGAACCTGTTCAACTGCAGATTAGAGTGTAATTTTTGTCTCACACTGCTGTGTGTTTGAAGGATTGTAGTATCTTTTTTTCTGATACTCTTTCTGTCATGAGACTCAGAGATAAGTGAGTAGTTTCTCGTTATCACAGGGACATGTTATAAATATGTCAGTTGGAGGGTGACTCCTTTGACCAAAAAGAAGAAATTATAGGAAGTTCAAGCTCAGTTTTTGATTGTACAGGTAATATCAGAAAGGCCTTTGTTGCTACCTTGGAATCTCATTAAGGTTTAAGAAGGAAGAGAGTTTCAAAGGATTGTGAAAATATATTTATTCTGCTTAAATATCTGAAAATAAGATGGATAAAACTCCTATGGGCTCCTTCTTAATTACAGGTATTGAGATTCAGAGACGAGACAAGAGACACAAAGGTAAAGAGCAGTGTCCTCAGCCACCATCATAAGCTGTCACCATGTGACAACAGTTCCCGGGATCTTTAGAGACAGGTTTGTCATCCTGTATGTAAACCTAGCCCTGCAACTCACTTCTCTGCCAGTTTTTCCTCTGTACTAGTTTAATTATGCAACTCTTCATGACATCTACCTTCCACAAATAAAAACATTCAAACCTCTTTCAAAATGAAGAATGCAATGCTGTTGTCTCACTATTTTTCACGGTGTGGGTAGAGAGAGTGCAGGGGTGTCAGACCTACCCTACCCTGTCACATGCCACCTCACCTGCAGGGAAGCAACGCTATATAACTGACCAGCCTAGAGCAGGGGCAGCAGAACTAGGAACTGGGGCTAGATGCTGGGAAAACTAGGTATTGGCTGGATGCTGGGAGAATATGGGCAGGATGAAAACGGTGAATCTATGAGAAAAAAAAGTGGAGTGGAAGGTGGCTGGGCCGAATGTCCAAGGTCAAGGCCAAAGAGGTGTAGATGACCCCAGGGCCGTGAACCAACCAGGGTCTGAGCCTGAGGAGTAGGAACCAGAATGTTGGGAGGTCAGCTCAGGGTGGTTCCTGGGGTCAGACTTTCACAAGCTCAGGACGTTTCCTGCAGCTGCCTCTCCCCAGCATGGACACACTTTCCTCTCTTTCAAAGGGGCAGCTGTCTAAACCTGGAATGGCCAGTTTCCTCCTGCAGTTTAATTACGTTGGGAAGAATACAGGAACCACTTAGGTGCTAGAGAGGAGGACGCAGTAAAAAGGTCTATCCACAACTGCAGTCATACCACATGCGCATGTAACTTCCATACGTTCAACCAGGTGCACTCTATGTGAATGTTTTGTGCAATAAAAATTCTGGAAAATTCTATTTTGCATGTGTGTTCTATTAAGTGTTGTCCATTGTGCACGTCCACATTTATATTACTGAAAAGACCCAAACACACAAAACCTTGTGTACTTTATGGGCAACTTAAGGAATTTTCAAGGGCAATTGTAAATGTGCTTAATTTATGCCTTAGGTGTTAGCTTTAGACGCCAAACCCTGTATAAGGTACGAGTCCCTCTACTCACCGAATTGGCTTTTTAAGCCCACCCCTTAACACCAGGATTACATAAGGATGCAATTGTTTAAAAATGTTTGCATGGCTTTCCTCATCAAAGGGTTTACACTGATTACGTTTCCTGAAATATCTATTGCTGAACAATTTTATATCACGCGTAGAGGACAATATGTACATTTGTAAGACATTCCCAACTTTCAGTGTAATCTTTCCTGCTTTGGAAATTTCAGTCTCTCAATTTTGAGAAGCACTCTAATAAAATTTAGTGCTTTCCTCCTTCCTCACCACGCCCCACGCCCCCAACACCCAATCTTTTGTGAATTTACTTCCTTTGTATATATGAGATTGTTGGAAAAAATCCGTGCTGAAAAATGCGGGGGACCCACCCCACCCAATGGTGTTTCCAAATGTCTTGTTTTCCCCTGTTAGATGTCACTTGCATATTAAACACTCACGACATGCCACAGTCCTCTGAGGCTTGGCTCAGTGCTCCCCAGAAAGTCCAGAGAGCAGACTGTATCATCCTGCTGTATTAAGATGTTCAGAAATCTCTTTAACACAATCCTTCGTTGTCCCATTTGGCAAGAGCTCCCTCTGAATGTGAGCACACAAGGGCTATGTCATTTATCTCTCTGGCTCAGTCCCAACCACAAGTTAATCCCTGCAGCGTGTTCAAACAAGAGCAGGAGGCTCTGAGATAAACCCTTTCTTCGGTTTTCACCAAACCGCTCTCTAAATCAACTCCAGTGGAGGAAGCACAATCCAGAATTAAGCTCTGCCCCTCAAATGAGGGGAGGACTGGGATGCCCTCCATCACCACCAGTAACCTTTGGGTTATCTCTTCAGAAATGGAAGTCAGGGTGTAACTATGAAATGGAACAATTTGTCCACCTGATCAAAATAAAGAATATGCATTTCCAATAATTTTATTAAACAGATCATTCACCTAAGAAACCTAACAATCATTGATTTAGCTGTTTTTCATCCAACTAGGTAACAATATATACGTTACATATCTTACAACTACAAAGGATTGCTATTTAAGAAAAATTAATACTAAAAGGATTTCACTTCCATAAGTTGCATATTTCTACTGTGATTTGCGTCACTTAAAAATGACTTGTTTCTTCACTTATCTGTGCTATGTTGTGTCCACTAAACCGCAGCACGGACCATTTAAGAGCAGCTGTTCTTGAGCTACAAGGACATTAACACACAGTCCCCACAGCATGGCCTCCACGCCCTGGATACACACGGAGGCTGAAGAGTAACTATTCCCATAAGATACAATGCTGAGGAGCTGAGACTTCCACACATTGTAAAGGAGTTTATTTCAATATTTAACTAACCAAAGTAGAAGTGGACGCTGGGTCAAAAGGAGAGGAAGGAGATGCAGACAGAGATGGCGACCCTGAAGCAAAGGGTGTGTCTAACGCTGCTGGGAAGCCCTCACAGCTATTGCTGCACGGTCACCCCCCTTTTCCTGCCTGGATTCTCCCTCCCTCTTCCCACTTTCTTCATTGTTGACTCCCTCTGCCCTTCCTTCCAGTGATATCATGGGAGAAATTTCAGCCTTGTCGAAGGTTGAAAAGGTGAGTGAATATTGGCTTCTCGGCTTCAGCCTCCTCTTCAAGGCCTATGTTCACAACAATAATTTTGCTGGAGCCCGGACCAGGAATCCTGCAGCAGAAATAGCCAGTCATGTTTCCAAGTAGTGCCGGTCTCAAGGGAGGCTCTTGGTGTCTCACCCTGACTCAGATTTGTGGAGGACAGGAGGCTGGGCCAATGACAGAACTCTGACCAATGAGGGAACTGCTCCATTTTGCCCCCAAACTTTCGGGTTGTAATTATACCCCTACTTAACTCATGACACCAACTCTTCCCCACCAATATGTTTGGAGAGACATATTTAATTTTAAAAGATGCCAGGTTAAAAGGAGGTTGGAAAATTTTTTTTCTGGAAATTCACCAATGTCCTTTTAAAAATCAGAGATATGATAGAATGTCACAATACTAGGGATGAGAACGAATGTTTTAAGAAGAGGTAGCAAGTGTGCCATAATCAAAATGGCAGATGCTTTACTCACACCACACCAGGCATGTGGAGGGAAAAGAAAACCTGGCTGGGGACAGAACCAAAAGAACAAAACCTTAAAACGACAGGATGAGAAGGTGCCTTAGAGGTGGTGATAAGTGGCTGGATTATTTATTTTGTGCAGGATAATTATTAGGCATATTATTATCACTAGATACTTGTTTCTACTTTCAAAGCAAAAACCCAAAGCTCCTCTTACAATTGAAAGGCTGTCAGTGTAGGTGGTTAAAAGCAAGGCTAGCTGAAGTTAATCTAGCATAGCCTGTGAACTCAGGCTAACCTAGGTTAACTTCACAACTTACCAGCACAGTCAACTGAGCTTGGGTAAGATAACTAGCATCTCTACACCTCATTTCCTCCTCTGAAAATTGGGACAATACTATTACTTCCCTCACAGAGTGTCTATAAGGAGTCAAGGAAATAATGGGTACTCGACAATGGTTAACTATTATCATCGCTGCTGTTGTCATTGTCATCATTTTTATCCTCAACACCATCACTATGGTGATGCTCGGGTGGTATAGGGCCATTAGCCTCCATTTCACATATGATTACATTGGATGTTTTTATTAGGAGTATAAATTGGGCTTCAGTTTGAAAGTAACTTCACAACTAATTGGCGCTCTCCAGGGTTGAGAATTAGAGGCAAAATACGATTTTTTTCACAGGCTGCCAGACCAAAAATTTTGAATTTTAGGATGCCAACTCTAGAGAAATAGTCAATGCATCTACTACAGGATACATTATTCAATTTTAAATGTCTTCACAGCCTCAGTCACCCACTGAGCTTAGAAGAGACATAAATGATTGGCTCCTGGAGAGGCAGTGGGAATGATGGAAAGAGGATGGCTACAAGTCACACAACCCCAGAAATGCCATGTACACTGACTAGAATGTGAATGGCACCCCTGGAGTAACACAGTACCCTTGAAGCAGAGTGAAAGAGCATAGCCTTTGAGGTCAAGCAAATTGAGATTCAAATCCAGCCCCTACCATGAACTCAGGCATGTTACTAAACCAAAGCTCCATTTCCTAATTTGTAAAATGGAAATAATAATCCCTATGTGTTAGGTTATCATGAGGATTAGAAATACTAAATATACAGGGTCCAGCAGTGTGTTCACAGGTCCTCAATAGGAGCTATTAATAGTACCATAGCTATTACTTCTATCATTCTATTGGTTCTAATATCAAATGTGGGACAAATATTGGTCTTAAACTAGATCAGTAGTCTCCAGGTATTTTTAAATAATGGCATTTCCCACTAGCACCTTTCCTCTTACCACTAAATCAGGTGGTGCTGATTATGCAGCCCTAAGAAAAGACAAGAGACTCATTGTCATTAGGTAGGTTATTTTGCAAGATTACATCTTCCCTGGTAGGGCTACTTCTCTCTGCATAACTCCAGAGGCTCCCATTCTTATGGTCCGCCACACCAAAGTCCTGACACTGAGTTAATGCTAGAGACTGTGCTTGCAATTTGGGACACTGCCACCAGGTGTCAGTACTGAGCAAAAAACACGTATGCAAATAGTCGGGCTCCCCACGGCCATGAGCTGGTGAAAAATATCACAGGTGGGACCAGGGGTTGGTGGCTCACACTTGTAAAACCAGCACTTTCAGAGGCCAAGACAGGAGGATTGCTTGAGGTCAGGAGTTCAAGACCACCCTGGGCAACACAGTGAGACCTTGTCTATAAAAAAAAAATTTTTTTTAATTATCTGGCATGGTAGCACACGCCTCTGGTCCCAAGTACTCAGGAAGCTGAGGCAGGAGGACCACTTGAGTCAAAGAGTTTAAGGCTGCAGTGAGTTATGACTATGCCACTCCACTCCAGCCTGGGTGATAGAGTGAGACCCTGTCTCAAAGACAAAAAAAAAAAAAAATCACAAGCAGTGTCAAAACTGAGCTATATGGTAGGTCCTCAAAGGATGATAGGGTCATCATGTGTCAGAACAGCACACATATTCTGTGCTCACACTTCTTAGCAGACTGGTTCATTCATTCACTCACTCATTCACTCAGTGAGTCCACAAATATTTATTGACCCTGCCAGGAACCAGTGAGTCAAGTTAAAATTTTATACGCAAACCCTCTCTAGGTCAGTATGTCATAAGTAAGTCCCTAGGGCATCTCCCGGTACATGGGCATGCCAACACAAATGCACCAGAACAGTAAGTTGCTGTGCAGACTCACCCATACATCCACCTAAGGTTAGAGAAATTCCTGCCAAGCCCAGGTCCAGGGTGAGTCAAGGGCTCTGAACACCACTGACTCAGAGAAGTCAAGCCTGGTGTAGCTTCTTTCGTATTAACGACCACCAGGAAATCAGGATGACCTTAAAGCACAGGTGGTCCTGCTCCCCTCTGGTCAACTAAGAACTACCTCCATCTCCTGGAGGTCCTTCCAGGACTAAACATGACCCCAGGACTTGGCCAGAGTGGGTCTTGAAGACAATGTCTAGTTTGGTAACAAACATATAGAAGTGGACCAAAAGCAGAATGACTAGAACAGAAGGACATGCCCAGCCTTGAGTGTATCAGTTGAGCTGCAGAAAAGGTCATGAATGGCTGCTTAAGTGCATGTAAGGAGCTAAGAGTCAATCCCAAATGGTAGCCTGGCTTCTGGGCCTCCACCCACACCTCTGCTCACAGATGGACCCCAGAAACTAGACTTGCATCTGGCTTGTAATCTTGTACATCTAGTCTCCAAGCCATCAGCTCTGCAGGTATTCTGTTTTCCTTTAGCCAAACAGCTGCAGCGAACTAGATAGCATTGAGTTTGCACCCATCTATGTTGATGGGTGCTTTGTCCTTGAGTATCTTGAAATGCTTCCCCAGCTGCCCCCTGCTCAGGAATATGAAGTCATAGATAATGGTTAGGATCTCAGATCAGTCACAAAACCCTTTTTAGAGGCTATGTGAGCCATATGGGGTAGAGGTTTGGAGGGCTGCTCCAGAGGCTCCCACTGCCTGGCTTGAATCCTGACTGTCACTTCCAGGCAGGAGACTGTGGGCAACAGACTTAACATCACTGTGCCAACATCATTTAATGCAAAGTGAAATTAAATAAAAATGATGGCAGCCACCTCTCACAGTTAGGGTAAAGATTAGATAAGTTTAATGTGTACAAAGCACTTAGAGCGATCCCTGGCACACGTAAACAAATGCACAGGAAATGTTAGGGTGAAAAGAACTCTGAGGCAGAAGCCCATCGACCCTCCCACTGCATCGGGCTACCCTGTGAACTCCGTGTGCGTCCCTGAGCCCACTAAACTTCCCTGACCTCACATCTCTCATCTGCACAACGCAAGGGTTAAAGGACAGGATCTCTAAGCGCCTTCCAATTCAAAAATCAAAGAAAAATAATAAGGGGAACATTTTCTGAAACTCTCTATTAAATAAATGCTTTTCTTTTTGAGTGATGCCTGTTAGTGAGAGCCTGGTTGATCCCAAAGCCCTTGCTTGTATCAGGTCCCAGGGGTTTTCGGGCCATCTCTCACTCCAGGCTTGATGTCCAGGGCTAACAGGGTCAATCCCACGCTACCTGCAGCTGGCACCATGGCCCCTGTGTCACCCAGGCTCCTAGTGTCATATTAGCAGCCAGGTTTGAGCAGCTCCTGCAATCCCTCACCCCTTAACTACTACAAAGCCTGGGGGACATCAGAAGTACAGCTCTCCTTCAACAACAACAATGGTGGAGTGTCCTCCTTTCAAACAACTTTTTCTTGTCAGTCTCAAAAGAAAACCAGGATTACCCTTCATTTGTTTCTTTCTTCCTATCTGGTTGTTAATCCTTCAAAAGCCCCTTTTCTGTCCCCTAAACTCCTTGAGCCACAGTGGGCTTCATGACCCAAATTAACTACAGAACAGTCTGCAAAAATCATCTGTTTGCTTGTCCAGAGCACCTTCCCCATAGCATTTTCCAAGAAAGGCTGATGACTTGCATATTTAAAGAGCAGGCTTGTCTGTGCTTGAAGCTGCGGCCGTGCTCTGAGGCAGCGCAGTGCCATGAGGGCTCATTAAGCCTGGGAAAAATAACAGCACAGCGGCAGACTAATAGACGACAGCATGAATGATTCAAGCCGTTTTCGGCGTCTCAGGGTTAAAAATACATTCCTTTGGCTGTGAGATTGTGTATTGTGAACAAGACTACTCAGGGACAGGATTTCCATATTTTGTCAGGAGTGGGGGAGGTGAGTAGGAGAGGAAGGATGAAAAGAACAATAATGCTACTTGAGGTTGCCTCCATGAAGAGCTAACTATCCTAAATATATCTGCACCCAATACAGGAGCACCCAGATTCATAAAGCAAGTTCTTAGAGACCTACAAAGAGACTTAGGCTCCCACACAACAATAGTGGGAGATTTTAACATCCCACCGTCAATATTAGACAGATCAACAAGACAGAAAATTAACAAGGATATTCAGGACTTCAACTCAGCTCTGGACCAAGCAGACGCAATAGACATCTACAGAACTCTCCACCCCAAATCCACAGAATATACATTCTTCTCAGCACCACATCGCACTTATTCTAAAATTGACCACATAATTGGAAGTAAAACACTCCTCAGCAAATGCAAAAGAACGGAAATCATAACAAACTGTCTCTCAGACCACAGTGCAATCAAATTAGAACTCAGGATTAAGAAACTCACTCAAAACCGCACAACTACATGGAAACTGAACAACCTGGTCCTGTATGATTACTGGGTAAATAACAAAATTAAGGCAGGAATAAATAAGTTCTTTGAAACCAATGAGAACAAAGTCACAACATTGTAGAATCCCTGGGACACAGCTGAAGCAGTGTTTAGAAGGAAATTTATAGCACTAAATGCCCACAGGACAAAGTGGGAAAGATCTCAAATCGACACCCTAACATCAAAATAAAAAGGACTAGAGAAGCAAGAGCAAATAAATTCAAAAGTTAGCAGAGGACGAGAAGTAAATAAGATCAGAGCAGAACTGAAGGAGATAAGAGACACGAAAAACCCTTCAAAAAAATCAATGAGTCCAGGAGCTGGTTTTTTGAAAAGATTAACAAAATAGATAGACCGCTAGCTAGACTAATAAAGAAGAAAAGAGAGAAGAATCAAGCTTGCACATTTCAAACGTAGGTGGGCACAGCCTTCCATACTGAGGATGCCTATGCAGAAAATAACCAAAAATCATCTCCTGCTGTCACTGCCCTTTCACTGACACTGCTTACTGAAAAGCCCCCCAACAGGACAAGAACATTATATTGAGAAACACTGTGTAGAACATTTGTTTAAATATCATGTCATCCCTATCTTTCTATGTGCCTTGCCTCTCCAGTTTTAATAGCTGAGAGCAGAAATCAAGTCTGATACTTTGTCCTTTTCTATGCCTTTCAGGGCCCTTCACTGAATGGGTGTTTGCTCTAAATTAATGGAATAAACACCAGAATGGGATGTTAGGGAGACTATAGAATAAATCTCTCAAGAAAAGTTTCCTAAATCAGAGTGCATGCTCACTTTGTAGGGTGGCTTGGATACAGGTCCACAGGAGAACTGCTGAAGGGAGTTCCTAGGTCCAAGTAGACAATGCACATCCCACCCTGGAATTGCAAAAGACAGAGTGGCCTGGCGGGGCAGCCCTCTGGAACTATAGCATCAACTTGTGGTGAGACAATGGCAAGGGGTCCAGCCAGGTATAGGTGTTGGGAGACACTTGAGCCTGCTCCGAAAAGGTCCTGATCAAGGGGGTCCAGCATTTGGAAACTAGTTCGTGGGCTCCTTGCCTATCTCCTTTGTTGCATAAAAATCCACGTGCCTAGCTCTCGTCGCATTTTATCAGGGCCCTTTACTTACTTGTGTGTCCTCTCCATCAATGACTTCCTTCGTATTCCAAGTACTTGGCATGGTTCCTGGCAAAGCATGGTTACCCATAAATAGAACACAATGAAGGGCAACCCAGGAGCAGGGAATGTTGGCAAGGTAGGCAGGTGGATGAGGGGTTTCAGGGAAGGATGGCTTTCACAAAGAGAGAACTACATGACACAGGAGAGTAATATGGAGTCCGCAATTCTTGAAGCATTGTACACATTACCAAGGCAGAATTTGATACCAGAACATGATAAAGGTCCAGCTACTCCAGCTACTCTGGGAAGAAATGAGGTCTTGGGAAGTTGAAGCATCAGGCTATGCAGAAATCTACAAATAACAAAAAATAACCTGATGATCCTGCTTTTTAGTGTTCTTAACCTAGAAATGTGTGAGAGTGCCTCATGCTTTGGGTCAGGATTGGTGTTAGGCTTGTAAGCCAATACATGGCTATAAATGGAAATTGCATGGCCACAGGGGTGGAAACCCAAACAGGGAATGAGAATGCTGAGCCTCTCCATCCTCTGTGACTCAAAGAAAAAGGGATTCGCCTTTCTAGTTGGAGAGCAACTAGTTGGAAGGACAATCCCTATACTATCACCATCCCCAAAGGCTTTGTGAGTGGGTTACAGAAAAGCACTGCAGCCAAAACTCTCACCACAGTGAAAGCCACGGTACCTAGAAAGCATCATTGGACTATCTGGAATTCTAAGTAAAAATTCCAGGAGGCCAATAGCCTTCTGAGAAAAATACATGAAGTGATGAAGACAATGCTTCCTCCCCTTGGGAAAATCTCATTCCTCAAATCTGGCCTTCCTTAAAGGAGGTCACAAAGGGAGCATGAGAAGTGAATTCACATTTGAGCCCTCTCTCCACCTAAGCTTTTAGTCCTTAGATTTAGTGGAGGAATAAATCTCTGCCCTTGCCTTTAAATTCAAGGAGCTTCCCTTCTCTTTTGTTCCCTGAGCTTGTCTTCTATTGCTTGTAAAAGTGCTATTACTGCCTCATCCTCCCTTTCAGGCTGATCTATTAATATCTGGACTCAAAGTAGCCACTGAAAATGTCAATTCATCCCTGTAGTGGATCAGGTACAGATATGACAGCCTGGGACCAGTCACCAAGTTTATAGAAATGGTGAGTCACAACAGCTACATCTCTAGATCCAAATGTCCTGTGCCTTAAGTACAGCAAGTTGTTCTGGTGAAAGAATGCACAATGAAGACAGGCTTCTGGGAAGAGCCTTTGTTCCTGCCATAACTGACGTTGCAATACTTGATCTGGCATTGTGAGTCTTCCTTTCCAGAATTTTGTATATTATACAAAATATTACACATGGATAACACACTAGTTTTTTTTACGTAAACCCACTTTTGATAGGGTTTTGAACTGTAGACACTCTATTGATCCCAAAGGTATTAATTTGCTTATTCCATAATAAGCTTTCTGTTCTCTTAAGTCTATCCACAAATGGGATATGTAGAAGAGCTTTTACTTTTTCACCAAGTTCATTTTCAGTACGTTAACTGAGAGCAACAATCTTGGGTTGAAAATATTCATAGAAATGGAATAACTAATTCTCTTCAGGAACACATAGTTCCATGCTGATAATCACCACAGTGGCAGCCAATTGCTAGCACTGAGTGTTTATTATGGGTGAGATATGGAATTAGTTGCCTAATGCTGCTATGACAAAGTATCGAAAACTGGGTGGCTTAAAACTACAGAAACTTACTCCGTCATTGTCCCAGCAGCCAGAAATCCAAAGTCAAGGTGTTAGTCCAGTGGGTTCCTTCTGAGGCTCTGAGGGAGAATCTTTTCCGTGCCTCTCTCCCAGCTTCTGGTGGTTGTCAGCAACCCGTAGCATGCCTTGGCTTGAGATGCCTCACTACTGTCTCCGCCTCCATCTTCATATGTCATTCCCCTCTGTGTGTCTGTGTCTCATATCTCCCACTCCTTTCTCATAAAAAATACTAATCATTGGATTTCAGGGCCCATCCTAAATCAAGGATGATCTTATCTCAAGATCCATAAATCTGCAAAGATCTTATAATCCAAGAATGGTCACATTCACAGGTATCAGGGGTTAGGATTTGGACTTATCATTGGTGGGGATACAATTTACCCCATTACAGGCTTAATAGGAGGCATGTTACATGTGTTGTCACCAGTGGAGGGGAAGCTCTGAGGTCATCTTGTCCCACACTTTCATGACCTGTGAACATCTGGGTAATATCCCTGGTAGCAGCCATTCAGCTGCACTTGACTCTCTGCAGTACAAGGGAACTCTGAATTCTGTGACAGAAGCCATTCCAGCCCCAGTCCACTCTAGTGGTTCTAAAACCTTCCTGAGTGCACAGCATCACCATGCAGGTGGTAGTTCTGTCATCATCGTCACCGTTTTTCAGATGAAGAAACGAAGGTTTGGAGTCAGATGTGACTTTCTAAGATCATGCAAGCAGTGAGCAAGCCTTGAAATCCTGTGTTCGGGTTGGGGCCCGTATTTTTAACTGTATGCCATTCTGATTTAGCAAGAAGAGGATAGGGGAGCAGCCAAAAGTTTCCAGATGAATTCTTCAGTCCCTCAGTAGCACCATAAACACGAACCTCTAAGTGCAGAATCACCTTGCCACACCCAGTGCAATTTTGCCCTCACCTTATCCATAAGACAAATGCTGGTGCTAGGTCAATAACTGGAACAAAAGAATCATTTAAAAAAAAAAAAAAAAAGGCCGGGCGCAGTGACTCACGCCTGTAATCCCAGCACTTTGGGAGGCCAAGGCAGGCAGATCACGAGGTCAGGAGATCGAGACCAGCCTGGCTAACATGGTGAAACCCCGTCTCTACTAAAAATACAAAAAATTAGCCAGGCATGGTGGCAGGCGCCTGTAATCCCAGCTACTCAGGAGGCTGAGGCAGGAGAATGGCGTGAACCCGGGAGGTGGAGGTTGCAGTGAGCAGAGATCATGCCACTGCACTCCAGCCTGGGCGACAGAGTGAGACTCCATCTCAAAAAAAAAAAAAAAATTGTTGCAAATGTCCATATGTTGCAACATCATGGGCAGTAACTTCACTCTTCAGAATAGCCAGAGAACTCCTATCTCTAAAGGAGAATCAGGATTCTCAGTATCACCGGATCTTTTCTTGCCTTGAATTGTTCACATGACCACATTATCCTCATTTCACCCACACAGATACATTCACACCCACCCCCAACACACTCTGCTGAACATCGCACAAAGGCTTCAATAGATTTTCCAGGAGAAATATTTTTGTCCCGTAACTATGGCACTCATATGTGCCTTCTTTGACAAGAAAGCCCCTTCCACTTCCGGTTCCAACATCATGAACAAACACACAGCCTCCTTTGTATGTACAGCTGTTCGTGCTCGGCCACAAAGGGCCCAGGAGCAATACATGGGGACTGTCCTCCCAAGAACAGATGGGACCCGCAAAGGAGGCAGGCTTTACCCTGTGCCTTTCTTTTCCAGGATGCATTCCTTTGATTGATGGTTGCCTGTATTCACTGGGGAAAAAGTTCATCTTTTTCACTTTAGATGTATTTATACGACAAGCTCTTTAAATTCTGTGATTCAATCATTACTGAGCTTTCAGGGAAAATATAGCGATGTTGAAATAAGCGACCCTTAAGCCCATAATACAGAAGAGAACAAGTAAAGGAACACAGCAGGACTTGTCAAATGAATGCAAATGAATGCTCCGTTGTACAACTTCAGAAACCGAGCACATAGCCCCTAAGCTCCCATCACGCCTCCTCTGGTGGAAACAATTCTCTGGCCCAAAAACGAAGCTGTTCAGAAGCAGAATTCTTGTTTCTGGTTCTCAGGCTACTCCAGTTGGCACCATTCTATGCCATATACAAAGGCGCCACAGGAGGATCTTGAAAGCCACAGCGCTAACTTTCAGCATCTCCTCTGCATGATGGAACACATGGAATCACACACATCCTAACAAAAACCAAGTCTCAGCAGAGACGTGTTCTTGGGAATAAGCCCTAGGAAACAGCGTCAGCGTGCCTTGTGCAGGGTGAGTCTGAAAGTGTGCAAGTGTTTGTGAGAGGTCTTTAGCGTGGAAGCCCATACTGGGTGAGGTAATATCCGCCTACGGCAATCAGTGACTAAGGATTCCTTTCTAGGCCCCAAGGCAAAATGTTGCAGAATAAAAAGAAAGAGAAGGCCAGTTTTTGAAACAAAATTTAAACTGGCAGCAGCCTCGAACACCTGGTAAATGGGTAAGCTGGAAGGGAGGGCACTGAGGGCAACTGGACAGGGCCCCAGGGAGCTCAAGTCCAAGATTTTACTACCTGCCAGGAGGGCTCAGCGAAAACGGATTTCTTTTTCTTTTTGTTTTTTTTTTTGGTTTTTTTTGTTTTGTTTTTGAGACAGAGTCTTGCTCTGTTGCGTAGGCTGGAGTGCAGTGGCGTGATCTTGACTCACTGCAACCTCTGCCTCCCCAGTTCAAACGATTCTCCTGCCTCAGCCTCCAGAGTAGCTGGGATTACAGACGCATGCCACCACACCCAGCTAACTTTTTTTTTGTGTGTGTGTTTTTAGTAGAGACGGGGTTTCACCATGTTAGCCAGGATGGTCTTAATGTCCTGACCTCATGATCTGCCCGCCTCGGCCTCCCACAGTGCTGGGATTGCAGGCGTGAGCCACCACGCCTGGCTCAGACTTCTTTTTTGAATCAGTATAGGTATGTTAAAACCATTTTGGCTGTTTTAAATGTATAAATATTGCATTTTCTCAAGTTGGGAGTTTGTGGCTTTAGTTCTCAGTGCCACTCAATGATGTTTAGAGGTTGAATTTTCTAAGTGAGGTGAAAACACAGAAGGTGCTCTGAGGAGCGCCTGCTGGAGAGCATCCTTCCTTCCTGGGGGAGCTGGGCTCAAAAGGCCAGCTGGAAGGGTATCTCACCTGGAACCCAGAGGGAGGGTGCACTCACCAGGACGTGTCCCCCTCCAGCCCTCCAGGGTTATCCTGGCTGGCCTGGAGGGCTGGGTGGGGTCACTCTCCTGCCTCAGTGATTCCCAAATGCATCACTGTGCACCCTGTGTTCCATCCAGAAGCACCACCCCACAGGCAGCCATCTAGCCAAGTGGTTAGGACAACTATTCCCACTGGAATCAGGATGTCCCAATGCCAAGCCCTGCTCTGCTGCTTGCCAGACATACCCCCTTGGATGAATGTACCTTATCTGTGCCTCACATTCTTCATCTGTGAAAGGGAATAATGTTAGGACAAGCTTCGTGGGCTCAGTGTGAGGATTAAATGCAACAATACAAGTAAAAACTGGAGACTAGTACCTGGAACACAGTAAGCAGTTCATACGTGTTAGCAACTATTGCTCTCTTTCTGCCATGAAAACTGCTCTGCAGCTCGACATCTAAGACAAGGTGCATGTCTGTCAGATGCTAGATATTTCATAGCAGGAGCTGTAAGTGCAATATTTCCTTTACCTCTCATGGTGATTCCATGGAGAAGGCATTCATGCTATTCTTTAGTCACGGATGAGGAAACTGAGACTGAAGGTATGTGACTTGCCCAAAGTGCATGGCAGAATCAGGATTCACCCAAATTCCCAAGCCTCAGGGACAGTTTTAGGTGGCCGCATTCTATTAACCTCAATCATGTAGAAATTATCCACTAACTGGCTTTCTCTGAGTGATAGAAAAAGCAAAAAGGCAGATGGTGATCAAAGGGTAAAAAGTTTCAGTTATGCAAGATGAATAAATTCTGGAGATCTATTGCAGAGCATGGTGACTCTATGTAATAACAATGTGTCATATACTTGAAAACTGCCCAAAGAGTAGATCTCAAGGGTTCTCATCACACTCCAAAAAAAAAAAAAAAAAAAGGTAACTAGTGAGGTGATAGACATGTTAGTTAGCTGGATTGTGGTAATCATTACACAACATATGCATACATCAAATCATCACATTTTATACTGTAAATACTTAAAATTTTTATTTGTCCAGCATACCTCAATAAAGCTGGGGAGAGGAGCAGAAAGGGCAAATAGAAATAATTTGAAATAGGACACAAGTAGCCAGTGAGGATCCCAACTTGTTTCTTTAAGTTGACTTTTTGAAGAATCCAATCATTTCACATATTATAAATATATTCATAATATAAAAGTATGATATCATAAAATTATAATCATAATATGATTTGCTCTGTAAGTGCTGTAATAAGCGTGAATTTACCAGAATAAAATGGAAAAGAGGCAGGTCAAAAGGAAGGGTCAGTATCTCTATCACCCTTCCCAAACTGAGAACAAATTGAAGCTGACTGACACATTTAGGGTATGTAGATGTTATGGTGCCCACATTTTTCCATGTGCTCTTCACTGTGCTGGAAGTCTTGGAAGTCATATGTAAGTTGCATGGGAAGGTATGACCACGGTCCTTGGAGCCCTGAGCCAGTGCCCAAGCAAAGAAAGCAGTCCAGCTGGCCGGGTGCAGTGGCTCACGCCTATAATCCCAGCACTTTGGGAGGCCGAGGCGGGCAGATCACGAGGTCAGGAGATTGAGACTACCCTGGCCCACATGGTGAAACCCCGTCTCTACTAAAATACAAAAAAAAAAAAAAATTAGCCAGGCTTGGTGGCGCATGCCTGTAGTCCCAGCTACTTGGGAGGCTGAGGCAGGGGAATCGCTTGAACCCAGGAGGTGGAGGCTGCAGTGAGCCGAGATCACGCCACTGCACTCCAGCCTGGGTGACAGAGTAAGACTCCATCTCAAAAAAAAAAAAAAAAAAATAGCAGTTCAGTCCTAGGGCAGTGGTTCTCAACCAGGTAGCATTACCCAATAAAATAAAACACAACTTGCCCAGTTAACTTGAACATCAGATAAACAATGAATAATTTTTTAGTATAAAAGTATGTACTAAAATTACATGGGACATATTTACACTAAAAAATTATTCCTATGCACCAGTGGTCATAGCAGCATCGTTCACAATAGCCAAATGCGGGAAGCAACCCAAATGTCCATCTATGGATGAACGGATGAAGGAGATGTGGTTCATTCACACAGTGGAATGTTATTCAGCCTTAAGAAGGAAGGAAGTTCTGACATGCGCTGCAACACAGACAAACCTTAAGGACGTTACACTAAGTGAAATAAGACAGACACAAAAGGGCAAATACTGTATGATTCTACTTACATGAGATACCCAGAAGAGTCAAATGCATAGAGCCAGAAAGGAGAACGGAGGTTGCCAGGGGCTGGGAGAGGGGAGGATGGGGACTTAGTGTTTAATGGGGACAGAGTTTCAGCTAGCAAAGATAAGAAAGTTCTGGAGATGAATGGTGATGATGTTTGCACAACAATGTGAATGTCCTTAATGACACTGACCACTTACAAATTTTAGCCACTTAAAAATGGCTAAAATGGTAAGTCTTATATTCTGTGCATTTTACCACAATAAAAACAATTTGTATGGTTTATCTGAAATTCAAATTTAACTAGGCACGCTGTGTTTTCATTTGTTAACTCTGGCAGCCCTATATCCCCAAGGGACATCTGGCAAGGTCTGGAGACATTTTTGATTGTCACAACTGAGAGTGGGGGAGGGGAGGCACTAGCATCTAGTACGTAGAGCCCTGGGTGCTGCTAAACCTCTTACGATGCGCGGGACACCCCCTACAGCAAAGAGGTGTCTGGTCTAAAACGTCAATAGTGTCAAGGCTGAGAAGCTCTGCCCGAGAGAGGCAACAGGGAAACCCTCACATGATTTTCCCTAAGACCAAAAAATTTTAATTTAAGCCACTGACTGCAAATGACAGATGTCAACAGGAAAACACAAGTATACAGATCTGATTTGTATCAAGGCACACCTGAAATTATTTGTAATCATTTTGCCTATTATTTTAATACACAAAATTCTGTGCATAAAACCATATTCTGTGTATAAACAAGTGTATTGTGAGACCACAATAGCTATTACACATAGCTAAAAATAGCAGCCCTAACAGAACTCATTTTGGCTGAGCCTGATACAGATTAAGAGCTTATCAGAAAAAAGGTCTTTCTGTCCAGTCTCAGCCTCAGTATACTCGGTGAGGCACTATAGCCACAAAAATAAAATTAGGAGATTAAACATGAATTTAAACCAAATCCCCACAGCAAAGTTCCCTGACCGGGCCAGAAAGACATACACTTAGACTGCTGTGACAAAAACATCCACAGGAAAGCCAGCGTGCCTGGGAGAAACTCAGCTACGCCCATTTGACCTGACATTCACTTACTAAACCTTTTAAGCATTGGAGGAAAAAGAAATCCACCCAAAACTTGAAAGCAAGCATGGTAAAGTCTTAAACCTGTTTTTGACTATTACAGCTGATAACACAAATGAATGGTGTTTCATTAATGCTGACTTAAGAATCAAAGTCAGAGTAGCAGCTTATTGTCAAAGCTGTTTTAAGAACAACAACAAAACAAGATTAGTGCCACTGAGCTGGTATAAATTATACTCGTGATCTGTCAAGAAAAATCAATCAGTGAGGACAAAACTGGTATTTTCTGCTTCTTAAAAACCATCAGGTTTCATCCATCAACGAAGACTTTGAGTGCAACCAAACAGGTAAAATATGAGGGAAAACAAATGATGGATGAGTTAAGCACTAGGACTGGAAAATTATAAATTCTTAAAATTGAGGAGCTTCATGGAAGGTTATACTTGGAAACTTCTTTACAGAAAAACTCTATTGCATAGGGAATGGAATGTAGCAAACACATACAGAGGAAAGGAAACCTAGAACCAAAATTAGGTCACAAAAGAATATTTGCAACTGTGGTTTCCGGAGGTGGGCGCTGGTGCACGAAGCCTTCCAGGTATGAAACTTTGCCTTTGTTTTCTTCTCACTTCCCTCACGTTCCTTCCTTCCCCCCATGTCTCTTCCTTCCTGCTGGGCTTGTTCTCACAGCCCTTGCAAGCATGCAAAGAGTCACTAAAAATACTGAGGAATCCTCAGAGCAAAAGAGATATTTTTCTCCTAACTGAGAGTACTACAAGATAATTGCAGGTGAAATACAAAGTTTAAAACCATCTTCAGATTTCACAAGTGTTGTATTCCAAAATAATGTTCTATAACCAGTTACTTGCAAATGCACATCTAACACAGACATGTTGTATGCACACAGGCACCGTGAGGGCTGCCATCTCATTTAATTGGAATGCAACCATCAACAAGGTCCTCCTACCTCAAACACAACCCACAACCAGGAACTAAATCTGAAAGGCTTCTTGGAGACCAACAAAGAGGTCAGAGAGTGTATGTATGAACGTTATTGATAGGCTACCATTCAGCTCTGAGTCTATCCTCTGTAATCTCACATGAAATTCCAAATCATCTTGGTTCTCTCATCTCTAAGATCCTAACAGATGAAAACAAACAAATTAAAGTAGGAAAAAGCTGAAACAGAGAGAAACACTGCTTGCTGGCACAAATATAGCTCATAGCCTGGAAGGAAGGGACAGGAGAGAAAAGGGAAAATGACGAAGAGCCGGCACAACCTAAAACACCACAGTCCCTGCGGCCTTCTAACTAAGGGGCCACAGCCACACACCACTCCACAGACCCTGAGGATATGACTGTGAGGACAAAGTCATGAACATGCATCAGATGTTCTAGTTCCAATGCTAATTTTTGCTGTTTTAGTGTTTGTAGTGTAACTACAAGCCATTTAGCCTCCCTCAACCTCAGCTTCTTCAATCATAAAATGAAGATAGTCAAGTTGCCTTTCCAGATCTCCACGTTGAATATGAAAGCAGTCTAAGAACTAAAGTGTGATAACATGTACAGGTGAAGAATGTTATTTAATTAATAATCAGTAGACGTACTATTTACCCTAAGTAATAAAGAAGAGGCTAGATTATAGTCCATGTCCAGAGGTTAGATTATGTCCTTTAAGGCGGGGAAGAACAGTGAGGGGCAGGCTCTCTGCCCATCTTGGGGTCAGCTGCCATGCTCGCCCCACTCCTGCCCCATCGCTGGCTTCCTCTAGCATGCAGTGTGCTGGAGGAGACAGCCCACAAGATCCAGAGCAGGAAGGAACTGTCAGTCCTGGCGCTCACTCGTTCTATGTAGCCTTGGAAAGTGAACATAGCTCTCCTAACTTCACTTTTCCTCATTATAAAAATGCCTGCCTATGTGATTCTTAATTGTACATTATTATATTTGGAGCCATTGATACTACATAAAGCATCTGAAGACTCTAAAACACTCCCCAAATATAAGAGTGATCGCTTCGCTTCATATTATTCAAGGCATAAGGCAATAGCACATACCTGGATTCTCTTTATGGAAAGTAAGATATAATGCATTCGGCGAGAATGAAATACACTCCTCAAATTTGATTGCATCTCGATAGAAGAGAATGCCTTTCAAACAATCTGAATTATTTAGTAATGCCGCAGGGAAAAGGTAGGAGGATTGTTCAGCAAGTATGTTAGAGAAATGAGTCCTTCAGGAAGTGGAAGGAGCATTGGAATCCTAATATTTCCAACACTTAAGGTTTTTAAAATTTTGTTTTTAATGGTTTAATGACAAGGTATCTGTATTTTAACATTATGATAATTCCTTACAAATTTTCCATTTCCATTTCTATGTCGTACCCCGAAAGAGGGTGTAGATGGCCCAACTAGTTACTAAGAAAGGGCATTTTGGAGACAATGGAATCCACATAAAAAGTAAATCCTATAAAGATGCCAACAGAGTTTATAACTGGAGAGGAGGAGCTCAAGGGACAAGATCCCAGCAGGGAAGGTTTCTAGGTGCACAGAAACTTACCTGCCCAAAGACCCATCCAAATGACAGTGCTTGGCCAGGTAGGTGTCACACAGGAATAAACTTGTCCAACAAAGTTTAGCCACTGGAGCCAAACTGAATTTATCTTCTCAAGGAGAATAAACTCATTGTGCACAGAATTTGCATTGCTAAGAAGAGCAATGGATTAAATAGAGCCCTGGCAACTCTTCGGAACTTTCTTTTTTTTTTTTTTTTTTTGAGACGGAGTCTCGCTCTGTCGCCCAGGCTGGAGTGCAGTGGCGGGATCTCGGCTCACTGCAAGCTCCGCCTCCCGGGTTCACGCCATTCTCCTGCCTCAGCCTCCCGAGTAGCTGGGACTACAGGCGCCCGCCACTACGCCCGGCTAATTTTTTTGTATTTTTAGTAGAGACGGGGTTTCACCGCTTTAGCCGGGATGGTCTCGATCTCCTGACCTCGTGATCCGCCCGCCTCGGCCTCCCAAAGTGCTGGGATTACAGCTCTTCGGAACTTTCTGAACACAATTTAGATTGTGGATATTTGAAGGAAAGAAAAAAAGTGTAATATCAAATAAGCCTCAGGTTAAATGCAATGTGCTTCTGTAGGTCACAGAAGGCAGGCTGCACTGTGCAAATACCGTAAGGGAAAAATGACAGAGATTTGAGACCTAAAAAGTAAGAATGCCTCTAAGAAATTCTGACCCGTTGATGCTACAAAGCCCCCCAAGTTGCAGAAGTCAGTTAGGTAACTTCCATTTACAAACTGTCTACTCTTTCTCACCTCAACTTTCTTAAAGGAAGTTAGTGAGACTTCCTTCACTGTGTATATTCTAAATTGTTTCGTGGAAAAGAGCTACTCTTCGTAATCCTGTAAAAGCAGCTGCTTTCAGCTGTATAATCCACCCCCTGCAAGAAATACCCTTGGGCTCCTGTAAATACAGATTCATGTCAGTCAGGTCCACTGAGATCCACGACCTTGTTATCCCCATGATCTCTGGCTGTGAAGGCTGAGCAGAGGACTGAGCCTGGCCAGAGCCTGCTGACACCCTCCAATATCCCTTCTCTTCTGCATCCACATAATAGTGGGGTTTTGTTTTTATTTTTGTTTTTGTTTTCTAAGATGGAGTTTCACTCTTGTTGTCCAGGCTGGAGTGCAACAGTGTGATCTCAGCTCACTGCAACATCCACCTCCCAGGTTCAAGCGATTCTCCTGCCTCAGCCTCCCAAGTAGCTGCGATTACAGGTGCCTGCCACCACGCCTGGCTATTTTTTTGTACTTTTAGTAGAGACGGGGTTTCACCATGTTGGCCAGGCTGGTCTCAAACCTCAGGTGATCCGCCCACCTCAGCCTCCCAAAGTGCTGGGATTATAGGCGTGAGCCACTGCGCCTGGCCCACAAGATAGTGTTTTGAGCCGAGCTTCCCAGAATACATCTGTTGGCCTCCTCTGCAGCTAGCCGTGGCCCTGGCCAAAGACCCATGAGTGGGAGTGTCATTGGGCAGCTTCTGGGGACCTTCCTTAAGGGACAACATTCAGATGTCCCTTATGCTTTGTCCCTGCTTTCATCCTGCCACCTAGAGTGTGATGTTTCCATAAGCCATGAAGTTGAAGCCACACAGGAAGTAGAAAGATAGAAGCTGCACAATCCCCTGAAACCATGAGGCACCAAGCCAATCCTGGACTGCCTATCTGTGCTTTCATATGAGAGAAAAAAAAACTCAGGTATATTTTAAACAAATATTATTTGGGGTTTTCTGTCAAAAGTAACCCAATGCTAACAACTATAACGTCAAAAACAAGTAGAAGAGATGGCTGGAGGCGCATAGTTGGTCAGCGTAACACATTTCCTCTTTAGGCAGA
The DNA here is from genome assembly GCF_000001405.40 of Homo sapiens. Classification (NCBI taxonomy): domain Eukaryota; kingdom Metazoa; phylum Chordata; class Mammalia; order Primates; family Hominidae; genus Homo; species Homo sapiens. The sequence goes on along the minus strand of NC_000001.11, from coordinate 231,915,035 downwards.
AGAATCTAAACAAAACAACCTCACTAGAAAGAACATAAATGCTTTTCAACTACCAACTCCTTGTTGCCTCACCTATTTCATTCTTTATTAGCCCTCTTCTGCAGCCAAGCTAGGCTCCTGACTGGTACAGGACAGTATACACAATTCTCACATTCCTGTCTTGACTATCATTTGCTCTCCACCAAAAGTAGCCTCTCATTTTGTCTTTGCCAATACATATTGATCACATCTTGCAAAATGTAGGACAGAAATGTCGTGGACTTACAGTGCAAGCTGTTTTTCTCCATTACTGTCCCACCCTGGGGGAAGCCATCCCTTTCCCTCCACATGATAAGTTGGAGATGACAAGCATTTGCTCGTGTCCCTGTATAATCACGGGGACGGATGTGCCACCCAAGCTGAGCCAGTCAGAGTCTCCCCTGAGACTGACAGACAGGAACTAAAAGAAAAATATTTCTTCCTGTGGTGGGGACAATAAGGCAAAGGATAAAAGTTGGAGGCCACCAAAAGCTACCTCAATGGCTATTTTCCTTCCCACATGGTGTGACCGGTTTGCAAAAGAAGCCGAGCAGAGCTGTGACAAGGATGACCAGTTAACCACCCAATAGATATTCTCTCCATCATAGCCAAGCTTTTATCCTACCCCGTGTACTTAGATAAAATTAAATAAATAAAAATAAAACAAAAACAACTAGATTTCAGCTCCGCTTGCAGACAGGGTTTCCAGGGGACACAACAGTATCCAATGGGATGTAAGTGTGAGCTACTGGTTGAGCTTCTGAGAAAGCTACTTACTAGAGAAATACATTCATCTCCTATGCACCTTTTCCTCGTGAATTCACTCTGCCTGGAACACAGATGTAATGTCACAGGTGGGGCAGCCGTATTGTAAACAGAAGGCGGCAAACTGTGCTAGGGATGGGCGGAGTGGAAAGATCAAAGGACCCAGGGTCTCAGGGACTCGCCATGCCAGCCCTGGGCTGTCTCCCTCCAGAACTCCTTCCTTGTTGCAAGAGAAAAATAAATCCTCAAATTGTTGAAGCCACTGGGTGGGGGCTTCTGTCACTTAGAGCTGTATGAAATTCCTAACTGATGCAGGATCTCTCACACGGAAACAGAATGTCACAAGTAACAGAACCAAGATGGAAAAATGGCTGAGGAGAGGAGATGGACACTCGGCATGTGGACAATAATGTTGCTGGCTGGAAATCTGGTTTCTTGCATGTTGGCAAAAATGTGAGGAAACGGTCACCTACTGCAACCCGGAAATACTACTTGTCAAAGGAAGCTGTGATACTGGGGAAATCAGAGGAAAGAGTCAGAGCATTGGCATCTGCAGTTCCTTCTTGACATGAAAATGAGAAGTAAACTCAGATGACTGCTGGCCAGGCTGCAGGCCCAGAACCAGGGCAAGGCACGAGAGGTCCCCAAGACACTTGTAAAGAGGCTATCACCCTCAGGTGCCTGTCCCGCATTTCCACAACCCTGAGAGTGACGCCTGCTTAAATGGTGCAGCCCAGGCACCTCGGCTGCCTCACCCTTATCCTGCTACAATCAGGGAAAGAAGGAAATGTACAGAAGGAAAGGAATACAGCCCTTCCAGGAGACGCCCTTGGCTTCACCAAAGCCTGCAATACAGGCTAGCTAGTCCCAAAATTTGAGGTCTTCATGGCTGAAAGTGTCAATTTCCACTCTACCCCAACATGAAGCATTTATAAGCATTAGCCATAATATGACAGCCTTATCAAGAAATAAAACTTGTGCCCCACCAGCCACTGGGGGCAAGCTAGATGGCAAAGATGGGATTACAGCTACTGTCCTGGCAGAGGGACAAAGCATGCGAGTAAAAACAAGATGCTTTTTTGGGAAGCTGAGGCTGGTGGATCTCTTGAGCTCAGGAGTTTGAGACTAGCCTGGGCAACACAGTGAAACCCCATCTCTATAAAAAATACTGTAAAAAATTAGCTGGGCATAGTGGTGTGTGCCTGTGGTCCCAGCTACTTGGGTGGCTGAGGAGGGAGGATCACTTGAGCCTGGGAGGTGGAGGCTGCAGTAAGCCAAGATGGAACCACTGCACTCAAGCTTGGGTGACAGCAAGATCCTATCAAAAGAAGAACAGAAAGAAAGGAAGAAAGACAGAAACGGGGGTGGAAGGAAGGAAGGAAGGAAAGAAGGAGGAGGAGGAGAAGAAGAAAAAGAAGAAGAAAGGAAGGAAGCAAGGAAAGAAAAAGAAAGAAAGAAAGAAAGAAAGAAAGAAAGAAAGAAAGAAAGAAAGAAAGAAAGAAAGAAAGAAGAGCAAGCTGCAGACTTAAATGTCCCTGTCTGACAGCTTTGAAGAGAGTGGTGGTTCTCCCAGCATGCAGTTTAAGATCTGAGAACAGACAGACTGCCTCCTCAAGTGGGTCCCTGACTGCCAAGTAGCCTAACTGGGAGGCACCTCCCAGTAGGGGCAGACTGACACCCCATATGGCCAGGTGCCCCTCTGAGACGAAGCTTCCAGAGGAAGAACCAGGCAGCAATATTTGCTGTTCTGCAATATTTGCTGTTCTGCAGCCTCTGCTGGTGATACCCAGGTAAACAGGGTCTGGAGTGGACCTCCAGCAAACTCCAACAGACCTGCAGCTGAGGGTCCTGACTGTTAGAAGGAAAACAAACAAACAGAAAGGACATCCACACCAAAACCCCATCTGTACATCACCATCATCAAAGACCAAAAGTAGATAAAACCACAAAGATGGGGAGAAACCAGAGCAGAAAAGCTGAAAATTCTAAAAATCAGAGTGTCTCTTCTCCTCCAAAGGAACACAGCTCCTTGCCAGCAATGGAACAAAGCTGGACGGAGAATGACTTTGACAAGTTGAGAGAAGAAGGCTTCAAACGATCGGTAATAATAAACTTCTCCGAGCTAAAGGAGGATGTTCGAACCCATTGCAAAGAAGCTAAAAACCTTGAAAAAACATTAGACGAATGGCTAACTAGAATAAACAGCATAGAAAAGACCTTAAATGACTTTATGGAGATGAAAAACATGGTACGAGAACTATGTGACACATGCACAAGTGTCAGTAGCTGATTCGATCAAGTGGAAGAAAGGGTATCAGTGATTGAAGATCAATGAATGAAATGAAGCGATAAGAGAAGTTTAGAGGAAAAGGAGTAAAAAGAAACAAACAAACCTCCAAGAAATATGGCACTATGTGAAAAGACCAAGTCTACGTCTGATTGGTGTACCTGAAAGTAATGGGGAGAAAGGAACCAAGTTGGAAAACACTCTGCAGGATATTATCCAGGAGAACATCCCCAACCTAGCAAGGCAGGCCAACATTCAAATGCAGGAAATACAGAGAACGCCACAAAGATAATCCTCAAGAAGAGCAACTCCAAGACACATAATTGTCAGATTCACCAAAGCTGAAATGAAGGAAAATATGTTAAGAGCAGCCAGAGAGAAAGGTCAGGTTACCCACAAAGGGAAGCCTCTCAGACTAACAGTGGATCGTTCGACAGAAACTCTACAAGCCAGAAGAGTGGGGGCCAATATTCAACATCCTTAAAGAAAAGAATTTTCAACCCAGAATTTCATATCCAGCCAAACTAAGCTACATAAGCAAAGGAGAAATAAAATTCTTTATAGACAAGCAAATGCTGAGAGATTTTGTCACCACCAGGCCTGCCCTAAAAGAGCTCCTGAAGGAAGCACTAAACATGGAAAGGAACAACCAGTACCAGCCACTGCAAAAACATGCCAAATTGTAAAGACCATCGAGGCTAGGAAGAAACTGCATCAACCAACGAGCAAAATAACCAGCAAACATCGTAATGACAGGATCAAATTGACATATAACAATATTAACCTTAAATGTAAATGGGCTAAATGCTCCAATTAAAAGACACAGACTGGCAAATTGGATAAAGAATCAAGACCCATCAGTGTGCTATATTCAGGAGACCCATCTCACATGCAGAGACACACATAGGCTCAAAATAAAGGGATGGAGGAAAATCTACCAAGCAAATGGAAAACAAAAGAAAGCAGGGGTTGCAATCCTAGTCTCTGATAAAACAGACTTTAAACCAACAAAGATCAAAAGAGACAAAGAAGGCCATTACTTAATGGTAAAGGGATCAATTCAACAAGAAGAGCTAACTATCCTAAATATATATGCACACAATACAAGAGCACCCAGATTCATAAAGCAAGTCCTTAGAGACCTACAAAAAGACTTAGATTCCCACACAATAATAATGGGAGACTTTAACACCCCACTGTCAATATTAGACAGATCAACCAGACAGAAAGTTAACAAGGATATCCAGGACTTAAACTCAGCTCCACACCAAGCAGACCTAATACACATCTACAGAACTCTCCACCCCAAATCAACAGAATATACATTCTTCTCAGCACCACATCGCACTTATTCCAAAATTGACCACATAGTTGGAAGTAAAGCACTCCTCAGAAAATGTAAAAGAACAGAAATCATAACAAACTGTCTCTCAGACCACAGTGCAATCAAACTAGAGCTCAGGATTAAGAAACTCACTCAAAACCGCTCAACTACATAGAAACTGAACAACCTGCCCCTGAATGACTACTGAGTACATAACGAAATGAAGGCAGAAATAAAGATGTTCTTTGAAACCAATGACAACAAAGACACAACATACCAGAATCTCTGGGACACATTTAAAGCAGTGTGTAGAGGGAAATTTATAGCACTACATGCCCACAAGAGAAAGCAGGAAAGCTCTAAAATTGACACCGTAACATCACAATTAAAAGAACTAGAGAAGCAAGAGCAAACACATTCAAAAGCTAGCAGAAGGCAAGAGATAACTAAGATCAGAGAAGAACTGAAGGAGATAGAGACAAAAAACCCTTCAAAAAATCAATGAATCCAAGAGCTGGTTTTTTGAAAAGATCAACAAAATTGATAGACCGCTAGCAAGACTAATAAAGAAGAAAAGAGAGAAGAATCAAATAGGTGCAATAAAAAATGATAAAGGGGATATCACCACCGATCCCACAGAAATACAGACTACCATCAGAGAATACTATAAACACCTCTATGCAAATAAACTAGAAAATCTAGAAGAAATGGATACATTCCTGGACACATACATCCTCCCAAGACTAAACCAGGAAGAAGTTGAATCCCTGAATAGACCAATAACAGGCTCTGAAATTGAGGCAATAATTAATAGCCTACCAATCAAAAAAAGTCCAGGACCAGACGGATTCACAGCCAAATTCTACGAGACGTACAAAGAGGAGCTGGTACCTACCATTCCTTCTGAAACTATTCCAATCAATAGAAAAAGAAGGAATCCTCCCTAACTCATTTTATGAGGCCAGCATCATCCTGATACCAAAGCCTGGCAGAGACACGACAAAAAAAAGAGAATTTTAGACTAATATCCCTGATGAACATCGACAAAAATATCCTCAATAAAATACTGGCAAACAGAATCCAGCAGCACATCAAAAAGCTTGTCCACTAGGATCAAGTGGGCTTCATCCCTGGGATGCAAAGCTGGTTCAACATGTGCAAATCAATAAACATAATCCAGCATATAAACAGAACCAAAGAGAAAAACCACGTGATTATCTCAATAGATGCAGAAAAGGCCTTCGACAAAATTCAACAGCCCTTCATGCTAAAAACTCTCAATAAACTTGATATTGATGGGATGTATCTCAAAATAATGAGAGCTATTTATGACAAACCCACAGCCAATATCATACTGAATGGGCAAAAACTGGAAGCATTCCCTTTGAAAACTGGCACAAGGCAGGGATGCCCTCTCTCACCACTCCTATTCAGCATAGTGTTGGAATTTCTGGCCAGGGCAATCAGGCAGGAGAAAGAAATATAGGGTATTCAACTAGGAAAAGAGGAAGTCAAATTGTCCCTTTTTACAGATCACATGATTTTATATTTAGAAAACCCCATCATCTCAGCCCAAAATCTGCTTAAGCTGATAAGCAACTTAACCAAAGTCTTAGGATACAAAATGAATGTGCAAAAATCACAAGCATTCCCATACACCAATAACAGACAAACAGAGAGCCAGATCATGAGTGAACTCCCATTCACAATTGCTACAAAGAGAATAAAATACCTAGGAATACAACTTACAAGGGATGTGAAGGACCTCTTCAAGGAGAACTACAAATCACTGCTCAACAAAATAAAAGAGGACACAAACAAATGGAAGAACATTCCATGCTCATGGATAGGAAGAATCAATATCGCGAAAATGGCCATACTGCCCAAGGTAATTTATAGATTCAATGCCATCCGCATCAAGCTACCAATGACTTTCTTCACAGAACTGGAAAAAACTACTTTAAAGTGCATATGGAACCAAAAAGGAGCCCACATTGCCAAGACAATCCTAAGCCAAAAGAACAAAGCTGGAGGCAACACACTACTTGACTTCAAATGATACTACAAGGCTACAGTAACAGCATGGTACTGATATCAAAACAGAGATATAGACCAATGGAACAGAACAGAGCCCTCAGAAATAATACCACACATCTACAACCATCTGATCTTTGACAAACCTGACAAAAACAAGAAATGGGGAAACGATTCCCTATTTAATAAATGGTGCTGGAAAAACTGGCTAGCCATATGTAGAAAGCTGAAACTGGATCCTTTCCTTACACCTTATACAAAAATTAATTCAAGATGAATTAAAGACTTAAATGTTAGACCTAAAACCATAAAAACCCTAGAAGAAAACCTAGGCAATACCATTCAGGACACAGGCATGGGCAAGGACTTCATGACTAAAACACCAAAAGCAACGGCAACAAAAGCCAAAGTTGACAAATGGGATCTAATTAAACTAAAGAGCTTCTACACAGCAAAAGAAACTACCATCAGAGTGAACAGGCAACGTACAGAATGGGAGAAAAGTTTAAAAATCTACCCATCTGACAAAAGGCTAATATCCAGAATCTACAAAGAACTTAAACAAATTTACAAGAAAAAGTCAAACAACCCCATCAAAAAGTGAGCAAAGGATATGAACAGACACTTCTCAAAAGAAGACATTTATGCAGCCAACAGACACATGAAAAAATGTTCATCATCACTGACCATCAGAGAAATGCAAATCAAAACCGCAATGAGATACCATCTCATACCAGTTAGAATGGCGATCATTAAAAAGTCAGGAAACAACAGGTACTGGAGAGGATGTGGAGAAATAGGAACACTTTTACACTGTTGGTGGGACTGTAAACTAGTTCAAGCATTGTGGAAGACAGTGTAGCGATTCCTCAAGGATCTAGAACTAGAAATACCATTTGACCCAGCCATCCCATTACTGGGTATATACCCAAAGGATTATAAATCATGCTACTATAAAGACACATGCACACGTATGTTTATTGTGGCACTATTCACAATAGCAGACTTGGAACCAACCCAAATATCCATCAATGATAGACTGGATTAAGCAAATGTGGCACATATACACTATGGAATACTATGCAGCCATAAAAAAGGATAAGTTCAGGAGCCCACATGTCCTTTGTAGGGAAATGGATGAAGCTGGAAACCATCATTCTCAGCAAACTATCACAAGGACAGAAAACCAAACACTGCATGTTCTCACTCGTAGGTGGGAATTGAACAATGAGAACACTTGGACACAGGATGGGGAACATCACACACTGGGGCCTGTTGTGGGGTGGGGGGAGTGGGGAGGGATAGCATTAGGAGATATATCTAATGTAAATGATGAGTTAATGGGTGCAGCACACCAACATGGCACATGTATACATATGTAACAAACCTGCACGTTGTGCACATGTACCCTAGAACTTAAAGTATAATAAAAGAAAGAGAAAGAAAGAAAGAAAGAAAGAAAGAAAGAAAGAAAGAGGAAGGAAGGAAGGAAGGAAGGAGAGAAGGAAGGAGGGAGGGAAGGAAGGAAGGGAGGGAGGGAAGGAAGGAAGGGAGGGAGGAGGGAGGGAAAGAAAGAGAGAGAGAGAAGAAAAAGAAAGAGAGAGAGAAAGAAAGAAAGAAAAGAAAGAAAAGAAAGAGAAAGAAAGAAAGCAAAGAAAGAAAAAGAAAGATTCTTTAGGCTTAAAAACCACATCGAGACAAAATTTGTAATGTAGTTATTCACTCATGGGATTGACTGGGAGGATATAAAACATAAGCCCCTTAATTTTTTTTTTCCTTTCTTCTTGTGCTTCCTTTTTTCTCCCCTAATACGTACGCAGCTCCTGTTTTACCTTCAGGGAGCCAAATATAATTACTAAACATGGTCACAATGTCTGCCAAAAAGCACGGTGGAGCAATAAGGGCAAGGCACCCTCTAACCTGAACGGCTTTAGAGAATCTACTTAATCTGTTACAAAGCTTTAGGAAGGACAGTGCCATCACAATCACCCAGCTGTAAATATCTAGCACACTGGCCTGACTTTTCTTTTTAGTTTAGTTTAGTTTTGTTTTTGTCCTTGCTTTCACACACAGCTGCCTTATCACTGGGAAACACCTATATTCACCCTGGACTTAATCCATATCCCTCGTGCATAAAGCACCCCCTGGGATATTTTAAGATCCCCAAACTCACACATGTGAGTGAATTCAGTAATAGTAGGGATGCTATCCTCAAGAACAGGCAAAAATATCAGGCATTGTACTTACGTCTCTCTCACTGATTCATGGATCAAAATCCATGCCCTTGACCGGGCATGGTGACTCATGCCTGTAATCCCAGCACTTTGGGAGGTCAAGGCAGGCAGATCACCTGAGGTCAGGAGTTCAAGACTAGCCTGACCAACATGGAGAGACCCCATCTCTACTAAAAATACAAAATTAGCCCGGCGTGGTAACGCATGTCTGTGGTCCCAGCTGCTTGGGAGGCTGAGGCAGGAGAATCACTTGAACCTGGGAGGCAGAGGTTGCGGTGAGCTGAGATCGTGCCATTACACTCCAGCCTGGGCAACAGAGTGAGACTCCATCTCAAAAAAAAAAAAAAAAAAAAAGCCATGACCTCAGCGAATTCATTTTAAACAATCACAGAGCAACAGAGAAGTTACAAATATAGTACAAAGAACTTTCTATTTCCTGGACCATTTGAGAGTTGTTGACCCGCTGTTCCTCCACCCTTGAATATCTTAGTGGATATTTCCTAAAAACGAGGGTATTTTCCTAAATAACCACAATATAACCATCAAAATCAGGAAATCAATAATGATAGACTACTACCATCGAATCCTCAGGCTTCATTGAAATGTTGCCAAATGTCCTGATAATGCCTTTTATAACAACAAAAGGGTCCCCCATGCCCCTCAGAATCACACATTGCACTCAGTTCCCATGTCTCTTAGTCGCTTTGAGTTGGGAACAGTTCTTTAGTCATTCCTTTATTATTTTTTAAATTAAGACAGGATCTGGCTCTGTTGCTCAGGCTGGAATGCAGTGACACAATCATGGCTCACTGCAACTTCATCATCCCAGGCTCAAGCAATCCTCCCACCTCAGCCTCCCAAGCAGCAGGAACTACAGGTGTGCATCACCACGCCAGGCTAATTAAAAAAAAAAATTTGTGGAGACGGGGGTCTCACTATCTTGCCCAGGCTGGTTTCGAACTCTCAGGCTCAAGCAATCCTCCCACCATGGCCTCCCAAAGTGCTAGGATAATAGGCATGAGCCACTGCGTACAGCCTGGCCATTCCTTGACTGTCTTGACCTTGGCACTTCTGAAGACCATAGGCCAGTTATTTTGTGGAATGCACCTCCATCTGAGTTTCCCTGGTATTTACTCATGATCAAACTCAGGTTTGCATTTTTGTTGGGAAATCCCAGATCTGATGTCATGGTGCTCTTGTAGCTTACTGTGGTGGCTAAGGACTTCGACTTGTCCCATTGCTGATGATAACGTTGATAATTTGATTAAGGTGCTCTCTGTCAGGCTTCTCCACTGTAAAGTTATTCTTTTCATCTTTGTATTTAATAAGTATTCTGAGGGGATGTAATTGGAACTATGTAAAAATTCCATTCCTCATCAAACCTTCAGTGTGTTTATTTGCATATGTGTGGACTCAAGATTTTTCTATCTTATTCACTGGGTTATCATCCACTAATATTATTATTATTTATTTTTATGCTCGATTTATGCCCTGTTTGGCAGTGGGAACCCAATCTGGCTGACTTTGGGATCCTTTTGCATGTCCCCCATTTTTTGATCTTTTCCTTGTTTTCCAGCATCAACAGGGCTCTAGCTCAGTCTGCAATTTCCCTGCTTGTATTCAGCAATTGCTCCAAAGAACTCTGGTTCCTCTTAGTGGAAATGAGTATTTAGAAGCCAAGAATTGGATTCTAGGGGTGTTCATTGTTCTTGGGATGTCATTGCTCCCAGACTCTCTCAGTGGGCAAAGCTGGGAGTAGACATATAAATGCATGTGTACATATACACACTGCCTTGATATTCCTGTATCTATCTGTGTATTTAGGTTCACAGCAATACTCCAGTTTTACTCTCATAACACAGGGTTCCTTCTAGTTTTGTCCCTTTCCTTATTTGTACCTCTCTTCTTCACTAGTGAGACACCAAACTTTCAGAAGGGACCCCACAGAAGTGACATTGCAGCTCCCCTCTCCAGCAGTGCTTACTTTGCTCTACCTGACCTAATATATTTAGGACTAAATTGCTAAATTGTTCAAGAAAGAAAAGGAAGAGAAGGGAGGGGACAGAAAAAAGGAAGAGAGAGAAGAGCTCCAATGAATTTTTGAGGGAAATGTAATGTTAGAGGAAGTCTGGCCTGGAACAACATGTAGCTGTTAATCCTAAAAATAATTTCTGGGCTGCCAAACCTGCACCCACAGGATGAGCAAAGCCTCCAACTCAATACCTACCTCAAAGGTGCCATAGATGAAGATAGATGAAGAACCAGGACAGAAGCATGGATCATTGAAGAGAGAGGACTGAGCTTCCAGGCTACTTAACCTTGAAATTCACTCCCTGCAGGGCCAGTGTCCTGGCTCCCATGCTGCCTGAACCACACCACCCCTTTCCTGCTCCAAAGCAGTAACTGCTTTTGCAGTTTCTTCTGTGCCCAGCCTGACTCTCTATAGTCTCTTGACTGCAGCAACAGAACAATCTTCTAAACACGAGTCAGATCACGTGACTCTTCTGTTAAAAACTCTGAAATGGTTTCCCATCTTAATCACCAAGTTTCTAACCTCCTATTATACTCAACCCCACATGATCTGTTGCCCTTTTCTTTGCTGTTCTCACTTTCCCAGCCCTCCTCTCTCCAAGTTTCACTTGAGCCTCCTAGCAGCTCCTCACAGATGCCCAACACACTGTGGCCTAAAGGCCTTGAGGCTCCCTCTGCCTGGAACATCCCTCCCCATAAATCCACACTGTTCGTCTGCTGCTTTTGCGGAGGCCTCTGCTCCAATGGCACCTTCTCAGAAAGGCCTTCTCTGACCACACAGCCTAGAATAGAGCCTCCCCACACAGGCAATCCTATGGCTTGAGGTTGATGTTTCTTCCTAGCACTTGTAATCACTCACACATGGTATATTTTTTCACATATTATATATTTATTGCTCATTTATTTGCCTGCCTTACTCCATGTAAATCTACAGTCTTATAGGCTCTTTGATTATAATGGGTTAAATTGTTGAAGTCCTAACTCCTAGTACGTGTGAGGGTGACCTTATCTGGAAATAAGGGAGGTCTTCACACATAACATTCATTAAGAGGAGGTCATACTGGATTAGGGGAGGCTCTAAATCTGATGACTGGTATCCACCTAAGAAGAAAAATGGGCCAGGCATCATGGCTCATGTCTGTAACCCCAGCACTTTAGGAGGCTGAGGTGGGAGGATCACTTGAGCCCAAGAGTTTGAGGCTACAGTGAGCTATGATTGCACCACTGCACTCCAGCCTAGGCAAGAGAGTATGACTCTGTCAAAAAAAAAAAAATGAGAGAGAGAAAAGGTGGAGGAGGAAGAGGAGGAGGAGGAAGAGAGAGGAGAAGGAGAAGAAGAAGAGATACAAAGACACAGTGATACACAGGGAGGGAACACACAATGGAGACAGAGATTGCTATGATATGTATACAGGCTCAGCATCCTTCATTCAAAATGCTTGCAACCAAAGTGTTTCAGATTTAAAATGCTCCAATGAGCACTTTATTTGAGCATCATGTTGGTGTTCAAAAAGTTTCAGACTTTGGAGCATTTCAGATCGCAGAGATTTAGACAGGGATACTCAACGTGTACATATCAAGGACTGACAAATCAAAGCCTACAACCTGGAGCTAGGACCGCTCTAACAACACCTCGATTTCAGACTTCTGCCCTCTAAAACTGTGAGAAAATACATTTCTCTTTGTAGTAATTTATCATGGCAGCCCCAGGACACTAAGATAATGAGTTTTGTTTTTTTTTTGAGACAGAATCTCACTCTGTCACCCAAGCTGGAGTGCAGTGGCGTGAATTTGGCTCACTGCAACCTCATTCTGCTGGGTTCAAGTGATTCTCCTGCCTCAGCCTCCCGAGTAGCTGGAACTACAAGCATGCACCACCACACCTGGCTAATTTTTGTATTTTTAGTAGAGATGGGGTTTCATCATGTTGGCCAGACTGATCTTGAACTCCTGACATCAGATGATCTGCCCACCTCGGCCTCCCATATAGTGATTATTATTTTTATAATAATAATTGTATATCCAACTACCTAGAATACTGCCTGTTACATAATATGCACAAAAACAAATAATTGTCATATGAATAAGTGAACAACTTTAAAAACCTATGCTATCACCCACTATGATCATCAACTTATCCAGGGCCACTGCTAGCCTCTGTGGTGCCCATACGTTGCATCTGTGCCAGTCAAGAGGCAGTGCCCCTCTTTAAGACACTTCACTTCTTTTTGTTAAAAAGTTGCCATAATGTACTGATTTTATGAGGACAAGACCTAATATGTATAATAAATATAATATGTTTAATAATTATGTATATGATAAATATAATAAATATTCAAAGTGACTGGTATCCCATGAAACGTGGGGCTCTTGTTCACTGTTCAACCTGAACAACCATACACAGTGGCCCTGATCCAGGTCCATAACAACTGATGCAAGCACTAAGGTTAGAATCAGAATTCAGGATAAGATACAAGGCAAAGGCAGCAAGAAGTCACACCCTCTCTTCTGACAGAGAGAGATTCTAGTCACTCTGAGAAACAAAATAAACAGGAGATAACCTATGAACAATATTAAAGCAATACACTGCATGATTAAATATATAATAATAAAGTACAGTTTGGAAAGTAAATGTGCCAGTGAACAAGAAAAAATGGGATCAGAAGATGATGGCATCATTGCATTTGGGTCAGAAGCAGAATAACTACCACACAATTTGTCAGTGTCTGCAGTGTGCCATACAAGCCTGATTTCATTAAAGGTGCACAGAGCTTCATGGGCCGAATGCTCCCAGTACGCTTCAATATCAGCATCCTCTCCAGTGAGAATTAATGAGATTTAGTGACATACCCCAATTAGGTAGCTAAGAAGAAGCAACCCTGAGATATGAACTTGGTTCTAATTGTTTGCAAAGCCTGCATTTGCCATGCACCATGCTGTCATCTAAGAGCAAATTTTAAGGAAATTATGGACAAGCAAAATTGGTGAAATTAGAATGTTCTAAAATTAAATTTACTCAATTTTCGTTTCTAAATAAGAATAATACCATTGCATAGCATTATGACATCTACTAATTATCCCCATACACTGTATCTAACCATATTCTGAAATTGACGTTTCTCTGATAGCCGTTTGAAGACAGGCCAGCCATTTGCAAGAGAATTGGCTCACTGCATGACTTAGTTCACCCCATTGGAAGCAATAACATTTGAGAACTATCTGCAGCAGTTACTGCCAATTGGTTTATTCAAACCCACTCCAGTCTACCATTCCACCCCCAAAACATGTTTTCTCTACACTAGAGACTTAAAGCAAAGGACTGCACTTCCCATATTGCCTTGCCATTGAGGTTCTGTATGTGGCTGACTTCTGCCCCACAACCAAACCCATGGCAGACTAGAAAGGTGGTAATGAGCACCCTGAGGCAGCAGCTAGAGTAGATTTTGTTGCATCTAAGAAAATACGCCTATTTTTCAAACCCTGTAATGTATACGCTTTGATGAATGAAACTAGTCTGAATATTATCATTAATTACTGTAGGCATTAGAAGACTACCAGTTGCCTTGTCTAACCTCCCTGTCCTTCTCTTACCCTAGGAGATCAGCAATAGCATTGAGGAGCTCTTTAAAAATGAACAAAATGCATCTGGCATACACAATTTTTCCCATGGCAGAAGAGTAAGTGATTCCTTGCAAAGCTTTCTGAAACAAGCCATTGATTCTCTTCCTAAGAAAGTAACAAAAGAATATGGCCTTATACCGAATATAACGGTTCACAAACCCATAATTCTTCACTTGGTCATATTACCAGGTGACCTTGGGCAAGTCATTTAGCAAACTAATGTCTCCAGGGAACTCTCTCAGTTTTGTTTTTGAAGGACAAAAACGAAAGGTTTTTCTACTAGTGAACCACGTAGGCCAATTAGGAGAATTATTTGAAGCCTTCCCTTAGATCTAGATGACTTTTTCTAACTGCACCCACTGCTTCTTGTGATAAAATTTATTTCTTGCAGAACAGCAGTGACTTAAAGCTCCACCGCAGTGGTATTTTTCCATGAACGGGGAATGTGCGCTAGCTTGCAGATGGACAAAGAGAATCTGAGCTAAGATTTTTTTAGGAGCTTCAGTGTCAGCTGATAATAGCGATCTCCTGTTGCGGGGCAAGGAGGAAGAAAAAGATTAAACTATAGTCCCTGCTGAAAGCAAACGTGAAAGGCAGCAGGGTGCAAGAGAAATTTACATCCCAAACACAGGCTAGACTATTCAGAAGACTGCATCTTAAGTTAATGCTATAATAAATAAAATAATTTTATTTGCATTGCACAGCTTCAGAAGCTTTTACTCTGGGAACAAAATCTCTATCCTAGATACACTGAAATCACTTATATAGTCTCATATAAATCAGAAGCTCCAATAAATCTAGTTGTATATATTATGTGTCTATTTTGGGAAGCAGGGGAGTAGAGAGGGGTATAAAATAACATAGAATGGAAAATCTCTGTATTTGATCACTGTGGACAAAACTATTTGTACCATATTAGCAAAAAGTACTTTTCTCTTTTATTGCAATTACTGGATTACACGACAGACTCGCCAGAAAACAATAATCAAATGCTCATGCTTAGAAACTAAAAATACACTGGGATGATTGGGACATTTTATCTCTAATTTCAGCACTAATGATGATTATTATTAAAATATATGTATAAAGAAATCAAACTTCAGGCTTTGATCGGGAAGGGAGCAAAGCTCTGAGTACTTATTGCTATAAATTTCATCCTCCATATTAATCAGATCATCCAAACCAGATGCAGCATTTTAATTAGGTAAAACTTACAGCCACATTGAAGGAAAGGCATAGATCAAAGCATAGACCAAGACCCTTTTGATGAGCCAAGGGGCCAATGTATAGAACCTGGAAGGAGGTCATGGCCCACACCCACCCAAAGGCAGTGGTTCTCAGAATGTGGTCCCCAGACCAGCAGCATCTGTGTCTCCTGGGAATGTCTTAGAAATGCACATTCTCAGGCCTTACCTGAGACTACTGAATCAGAAGCTCAGGGACCCAGCAGCCTGTGTTTCCAACAAGCCCACCAGGTGACTCTGACGCATACTATCATGTGACAGCTACTGTCCCAGAGCTCCAAATAGGGAACGGAAGGTGGAATTCTACCCTTTTCCTGACTTTTTGGAAACTAGTCTGAAAACCCTCAGGAGAGACAAGCAGACTGTAGCTAGCTGGTTGGGAAATCCACACTGAGTAGTCAGTGTTCTGAGGATTTCCTGGTAAGATCTGTCCTCCACTCTTTCCATCTCATCTAACTATTTGGTTTTCTTTTGGTTTGGTTTCTTTTTTTTTTGTTTTTTGTGGGGTTTTTTTTGTTTTGTTTCATTTTTTGTTTTGTTTTGTCTTTAGACAGTCTTGCTCTGTCACCCAGGCTGGAGTGCACTTGCATCATCTCGGCTCACTGCAACCTCTGCCTGCTGGGTTCAAGCGATTCTCATACCTCAGCCTCCTGAGTAGCTGGGATTACAGCCATACGCCACCACGCCCAGGTAATTTTTTGTATTTTTAGTAGAGATGGGACTTTACCATGTTGGCCAGGCTGGTCTCTAGCTCCTGGCCTCAAGTGTTCCACCTGCCTCAGCCTCCCAAAGTGCTGGGATTACAGGCATGAGCCACCACACCCGGCCTAGTTATTTGTGAATGTAGAACATTCAACAACTCTTTCCAACCTTACTTGTTGATTTTCAACCTCAATTCCCAAATTATATTTTGTTTTATGGTGTTCTGTTTACTTCAAAACTTTCCATGGTCAAGAAGTAAATGTCCAGGTTTTTCTCCTCTTGTCATCCCATTCAAGTTCAATTAAAGAAAATCTTCGGTCAATCAAAACATCCTTCCCTTCACTCACTCTGCCCAGCACAGATTTCAGCCCTTCCTGGGCAAGGGTCCTTCACCTTCCAGAGTCTGTCCAGCTGCATGGACTCCAGAACTGGCCCACCCCTGAGTTCCTTCTGAACATGAAAACAGTGACAAGAATATGCATTCTTCCTAGAATCAGTATGTTATATTTTTAGGGCCCAAGTACACAGACATTTGCACGGATGGGTTATTATGTGTAATTGTAAGAAATATTATTATAACCATTGTTAAACATTTGCTGGAGGTCAAGGTTATAAATGACCTAAAGTGAATATACATAGATTTAACTCTCTGCTCACACTCCTGTGTACATGTGATACTGCTTTGGTTCACTTGATTACATCTTGCTGTTTTGTCTAATGTGGCTGTATCTTTCTCCCTAGTTCTGTTATAAGTCTCTTGAGGGCAGCAACCACACCTCTCACTTCTCATGAAATGCAAATGTCCTTAAAATGAGATTCAATAAATACTTGCTCGTATATATTTAATCGAGGGCCACCTCTCCCCTGCCCCAGGAATGTGCCTCTATAACACTATTTTGGTGTTTTAGCACTTGAGTTTTGAAGCTAGATTTTCTCTGATTTTAAGAAAAAAACCTAAAATAAAACATCCCTAGCTTAAGCTAACCCAAAAAGAGCAAATGACAGACAAAGCTCTATCTGTTCTTGAACATGCCAGTGATCAAGTGTGAAGTAAACCAGGTGTTTCAATGCACCAGGAGGCCCTGTTACTACAACAGCACACGGTGACCAGCTCAAAATCAGATGGGAAACTTTGTGTCAGAGCACTGACAGCAGCCCAAAGCAACAGACTCTACAATAAATGGCTGTAAAATGCTGCCGCAAAGTTTTTCAGATGCCACAAATAGGCTGGAGGTTGTTAAAGGAAAAAAAAAAGATAAAGAAAAAGACGATTTAGTCTGCGCTGTATGTGTGAAAGAAATATTTTGGCCTTGTTCCATAAATGATAACTGAAATGCTCTCTGGACCGGTCAATTCATCAGGGGAAGATAAAACAACCTGCCACTGTAACCCAGAGAGGAGAAAAGTAAGGATAAAAAATCAAAAAGTTCCATTCATTTCAAGGAAAAGACACAGTGACAAAGAAGCTATATCAGGTTTGACTATTAATTCAAGACCTCTTCTTATTCTGGCAGAAGCGTACCCAAGTCAGTTCACCGAGGTTTGGCTGCAATATGTCCTCCCTCTGTTTCAAGTGCTCAGCCCTACAGCCTCTGTCTGTTGAAATCCCACTCATCCTTCAAGATGTACCTCCAATGTCACTTCCTTTCTGAAGTCTTACCATGCCCTGCCAGGCAAACTGAATCCCCACCTTCCCCTTCCAGCTCCTTCTTCACTCCTGCTGTGGTGTTGGCCCCGTGGGTTCACGTGTCTGATCATGTATGTTTCTAGATCCCGTAACAGTCAGTGATGCCAGAAGGGTGGGAACCATTGCTCAATTACCTTTGTTTTACTCACAGAATCTGACATGAGGCCAGTCACCTTGCACATCAGTATTCAAAAAAATCTTCTATGGAATTGTTAAACTCAATTATAGGCAGGACTTCACTTCCCAGCAGTGGCGCCTCTATTTGATGTATTTCACAGGTATAATATTTACTGAACGACATGGTGCCAGACACTATGTTGGTGCTTTAGATACAATCTTCCTCAATCTGCCACATTCTATGAGGAAACTGGTGCTCAGACAGTCTAAGAAAACATAGCCCTGAGATTTAAAGCAAGGGTCACCACAGAAGATATTTTGGGTCCCTGAGCCACTTATACAACATCTATAAGCCTCAAGTCTGGCTCTATGAAACTGGAATGATTATATTTTAGTGCTTTAGCCCACTTTCTAGAAGAGCATCAGAAAGATGAAACACCACAATTTTTAGAAGAAGGGAGAACAGTGAAAAGCATAAACTGAAATGGGAAAAAAAAGTTGCATTTGATATGTTTCTTTTTCAAAAGTGTCAGAATCGGCATATAATTTGTATCTCCTGAAGGAGTAGCTGTCAGTAGAAGCCATACCTAGAGTTCTGTCCTGACCTCTATGAAGAGACAGCTTTAAAATGGGCAGCTGTTTTATGCTGATTATTTAAATACCATACCCCTGTTGCAAAAGCCTGCCCCGGACCCCAAGTTCAGGGAAAATGTAGGGTATGTCAGGTTACTGCATCCAGGAGGCCACTCTCATGACCATTCCCTAAATCTTTCCCATTGAATGCGACCCCAGATCACACCACACCAGTAATTTCATGGAAAATGATGCAGTCGGCTATGAACAGCCATCATTGGTACGATGAAACTCATAGGAAGGGGGAATGTAGTGGTAGGAAAGTTGCCGTGACTCCACACCAGCCTTTTGGCCTCTGGAATCACATGACACCATTTCAGCCTGTATGATGCTAGAGAAACCCCAGAAAACAAGGAATTACTGAGCTACGACAATAAGCCATGAACTGTGACGTGTTCTAGACCAGGGAGCAGCATGAAGGGATGCGTATTTTAGAAGAATCACTGCATTGTAGGAAATGAATTTGGGGCAAAGGTGTACTGTAAGACAAGGATGAGAGGGCGAAAACCGGTTCTGAGGCAACTGCAGTAGTTCAGGTAGGTGAGGATGATGCCCAGGGAGAATAAGAAGATGGAAAACTTCCCAGTTATTTTATGAGACTGGTACAGCCTTGATTCCAAAACGGGGAAAGATAGTATGAAGAAACAAAATTACAGTTAATTCCATTTATTAATATGGATGCAAAAATGCTTTAAGAATTAGTAAAAAAAAAAATCTAGCACAGTGGTAAAGAATAATAGAGTTTATCCCAGGAAAGAAAACAATAATTTAATTTTTAAAACCTTATTGATCTGAATTTACAACATATGTGGAAGTAAAAGTATGACAACTGTAACACAAATGACAGGAGGGAAAAATGTAAGTATGCTGTTGTAAAATTATTTATCTCTCTCATATATATATATATACACACACACATATATATGAGGGAGATACATATATGGGGGAAATATACAAATATGTAGTGATATATAGTGTGTGAGTGACAGTATACATATAAAATATTTATGAGGCTTTATATTATAAAAATTTTAAATATATTATTCATTAGATATACTTACACATAAAGTGGAATAATATTGTTTGAAAGGAAACTATGACAAGTTAAAGATGCCTAGAATGAACCCTAAAGCAACCACTGAGGAAAATAAAACAAAGTGGGATAACAATAATTCAAAAAAGAGATAAAATAGAATACTAAAAAATACTCAGTTCTAAAGGAAGGCAGAAAAGAGCAAAAAAGAAAAAAAAAACAGATGGGACAAATAGAAAACCACTAGCAAGATAGTAGATTTAAAGTCAAACCTATTCATCATTATATTAAATATAAATTGATTAAATATTCCCATTAGTAGTCATGACAACTTTGAAGACAAAGGATGCTCAGTCCGTGTGTGTGTGTGTGGGTGTGTGTGTGTGCATGTGATAAGATGGGGAGAGGGAGAGCTGTCATACCACATATCAGAATGTCCTCTAATGCTATAGCAATTATAGTGTGGTATTAATTCAGAAAGAAACAAACAGATCAATGGAAGAGTATGGGGACTTATAAAAAGATGCACACACACACACACACACACACACACACACACAACAGATGACACACAAATCTGTAGAGGTCATGATGCTATTAGATACTGATTGATATGTAAAAAGACAAAATTATATCTCTGACACCAAACACATCAAAAATTCCAGATGGAAACTTTAAAAAATGTTTTTAAAAAGTAAAGCTACAGAACAAAACTTTTTAAATTAGAAGAAAATACAGAAAACATTCACATGATCCTGGGAGTAGGAAAGAACTTATTAAACAAGAAATAGAAAAAAAAGAAGGAAAAGATAAAGTCATCTTATTTAAAAGTTTTAAAATTTTTTGTATGACAAAAACACTGAGGGAAAAAAAGACAATCCAGAGTAGAATAGTAGAATATACAACATTTGTGTATCTGTAATATTTTCTTAATTAAAAAGAACAACACTAAAAATAAACTCATAGGTTCACTTGAATCAAATGTGGTAAAATGTTAGCATCTACTATACATGGGTGTCCACTATGTTTTTTTCTGTACCTTTCTATATTTCTGAAATATTTCATGTTAAAAGTTAAATATCAAGAGACAAATTAGACATTCATATGTTCATGGAGTGAAATCTCTGATCACTATTATATCTTTACTCTGGGACCATTTTAAAGTTTATATTAGAAGATCGTTGTTTCTTCCTGTCTCCAGCCAGTGTATGCAATACCACACCCAACACTTCTACTTCTCCCTTCTTTTCACTTCCCATACTTCCATACTCAAAACTACGAATTCCCAAACTAGTATACACATGCTGGTATACACGTTTGTGGTATGTGGTAAACTGCTCTATCCCTCATATCATTTCTAATAAGAAGATCCTTGGAAGCCACTGCAGGGCTTTCATGTCTTTGTGATATTTTTGAGGCCATTAATGACCATCAGTGGTAGATTGTATTCATTGTTCATAAGTCCTCCTTCTCTCCTTTCTCTTCAGTACAGGCAGAGTAAGCGTCATCTCCCCATGCCTCTGGATGTGACCAGGTGACTTGCATTTGCCAATGGAACACCAGTGGTCCTAACGTATGCCACGCCCACCCAGAGGCTTTATATGCCCTTGTATGATTGTCTTCCTATCTATCTTCCTTCCTCCAGTCTACCATGAGAATAGCATGCCCCGCAGGTAGCCCAGTCCCAGAATTACTCAAAGTAGATCTGACCCAACCCACAAACACATGGCAAAGCCACAAGATGACGCACAAGTCCATGAGCAAGAAATACATGCTTTCATATAAACAACTGAGATTTGGGGGCTGTTTGTTATACTACATTATCAAAGCAGGAGCTGACTAATATATAACCTTTTATTAAATTTCCAAGATAATTTTCTGTCCTATACTCTGTTATTTTATGCTGAGAATTTTAATAAGTGCCTGCTCAACTAAGATAGTCCTCTTTATATTGCATTTAAAGCTTTCTAGACTATCGAATTTTATTAACCGCACATATACACATGATCCAAGGTCTTTTAAACCTGGGTTCAAGTTTTTTTTTCAACCTTATCTCCTGCTATTAACTTCTCACAATGTACCCTCTGATTTTATTGTGATTTTAATTTTTAATATGCCACATTGTTTTTTGTTTTTGTTTTTGAGATGGTGGTCTTGCTGTGTCACCCAGGCAGGAGTGCAGTGACATGAACACAGCTAACTGCAGCTTCAACCACCTGAGCCTAAGCAATTCTCCTACCTCAACCTCCTGAGTAGCTGGAACTACAGGCACCAGCCACCATGCCTGGCTAATTTTTGTATTTTTTAGTAGAGATAGGGTTTCGCCATTTTGGCCAGGCTAGTCTTGAACTCCTGACCACAGGTGATCCACCTGAGTCGGCCTCCCAAAGTGCTTGGATTACAGGTATGAGCCACTATACCTGGCCTGCCACATTCTTAAACATTAACTTAATCAAGCTTCTCAGTCATTTGCATGAGATACTCCCTACTCTAGGAATCATCTTTCTCCCCGTTATTTATTTATTTATTTATCCATTAAGGCTCAAATCAAATATTATTTTTCTTCTATGTTTGTCTATCCTGATGCCCCTAGAAAGTGTACTCCATATCAGCAGACTTACCATTTTTTTTTTTATAATTGCCTGTTTTTATATTCATTTCCCCCACTGGATTCCATCAGAGTGAAGATCACGTCTCACTTGTTTTAGTACCTTATTTGTTTCCAATTAGTATCATCACCCTCCTCTCTAACATAGTTAATAATCTTTTCACAGGTGTTCTTTAGTCCTCACAGGAAACCAGTGAGCTTGTATCTTTACCTCTATTTTATTGGTGAGGACACCAAGGCACCACAGGGTTCAGCAGTTTACTCAAGGACACAGTTTATAAGTGAGGGAGCCATGAAGGCACTACTTGGACACCACACCCCACACCCTTGGCAGTCATACATGCTGTCTTCCACAAAACTGCTTGCTAAATGAATGGATCCACCAAGAATTCTCTGTGTTTCATGCTTAATGGGAAAAATCATTCCCAATAGAATCAATCTTCTTGAAGAATGAAATTACTGTTGTGGAATCATATACTGCTTCTTCTTCCTGACACCCACGTCCTCCACCTGTGGCATTAACATTATCCAACATTATGTGGCCATTCCCAGGTGTGTCAATAGTTTGTCAAGTATCAGCATTTTTCTCTTGGTAGAGCAATCAATGCCAGCAACTGTTCTAAGGTGGTGGGGGGGCAGGAGACTCTTTCAAGCAGGGACTTTCTCTTTGAGGTATTCGGAACCTCCAGCCAGAAATATTCTTGGCAATGGGGTCAAACAATTCACCTGATCGGCTGACTCAGGAAACACCTGTAAAGATACCTGTGAAACTTCTGTTGAACTGAGGATGGAGTCTGCATTGTAGAAAGGGGAAGGCCGCAGGTTATGGCTACTTCTCAAACATGGAATCTGTCCACAGATCCATCCAAGTCCATATGGATCTGTGGTGCTTTCTACCAGGAAGAAATAGTCTGGTGGGTATAATATCGTTTTTTAAATTATGTTATCTTGACCCAGCTCTCAGGCCCTGGCTAAAGGCCAATGGAACAGCAGGTGACGCCCACACCACCCAACAACTCCTCTTATTGGGATCTTACACTCAGGACCACTATCCCCTGCCCTAATCACCCCAGACCAGGTACCAAACAACTAGGGGCAGCCCCTACATCCCAGAGCCCACTGGAATTATTCAAACTACCCAGTCCTCAATGGGCTTGCTCTCTCTCAGCATTCCTTCCTGCAGAAACCACAATAAAGTCTCTTGACCTTATTTCCCTGCTCCGTCTGTCTCCTGACCCACCCTGGTGCTTCCTCACGTGGCATGACACAGGATCTGTGAGTAATTAACTATGTTTTCAGTGGCAATTACCTCCTGATCTATTGGTCTTACTCCACCTCAAATATCCTATTAACACTATATGTTAGACCAAGCTTGTCCAACCCAGAGGCTGTATGCAGCCCAGGATGGCTTTGAATGTGGCCCAATACAAATTCGTAAACTTTCTTAAAATATTATGAGATTTTTTTTTTGCAATTTTCTTTTTTAGCTCATCAGCTATTGTTAGTGTTAGTGTATTTTATGTGTGGCCCAAGACAATTCTCCTCCTTCAAGTGTGGCCCAGGGAAGCCGAAAGATTGGACACTCCTGTTGTAAACAGTAGAAGGCAGGGTTTAGCCTTCAGCCAGAGGACAAGGAAGCAGCAGTGTTGAGTAACTCAGTGGGAGCGTGTCTATCCCTCAGTTTCCTAAGGCTTCTGTGCAGCTATCAAACAGATGGTGAGAGACACATGTGCCACGCTTATTCCCACTCTTTGTCACGGGAGGAAAATGTGAGCATAGCATTAACTATTAAAAAAATTAAAAATGCTGAACACAGCACCCAAAGGAAGAGAACAGGAAACATAATCAGCATGGAGACAGAACACATTCTCAGGAGGAATGATCAGTAAGTAAGAGATGTATCTGAAATCACGAGGATATGGTATCATTTATTTATCCTTTTTATTGCAATTAAATATACATTACATAAAATTTACCACTTTAACCATTTTAAGTGTACAGTTTATTGGAATCAAGTATACCCACACACTACTGTGCAACCATCACCACCATCTATCTTCAGAACTTTGTCAACATCTCTAAAACCCAGCACCTATTACACTTAACTCCCCATTCCTCCCTCACCAGGGCTGGAGCCCCTGGCAATAAGCATTCTACTTTCTGTTTCTATGTATTTGACTATTCTAGCTATCTAAGTTAAATCATATATAGTGTCATTTTTAAGGAATTTCAAGTACTTATTATTCAAAAAATTTTAAAAACCAGTGATGTGCCTTTTCTGTTTGACCTTTATTTTTGCTTTACGAAAGTGGATTTGTGCTCGATCAATACTGCAGAGACAATTCCATATTTTACGTATGCTCAGTATATGATTTCATAGGATCTTTACTGACAAAGAAATTTCCATCCCTATATTTCAGCAGTCACTGTGTTTTTTGCTTACCCACGATCAGAGCCATAGAAGGCACAGATTACTCACACATACAGAGTGAAAATACGCAGTTTATATTAAAGCTCTGTGCAGCAGAGCAGCAACTACACAACTTATTGCACACCTTGAAAAATCCAGGAGAGAGGAAATAACATTTTTAGCAATTCAAAGAGAAAAACACTCTCTAAGCACATTCTGGAGTCTAGGAGAAGCCATTTCTCATAACAGCAGCCCCCAAACCCAAGAAGTACTAGAACAACAAATACAGAATAAACCACACCTCCCTTCGGTATTAACCAATTTAAGTCTTTTGAGCACAACCCAAATTATAGCTACATGTGACAGCAACATGGCTTTTCTAAAAGGCTTTTGTGAAGGTAATTTTTGAGAGGAGCTCCTGATATTTGTCACAATTGAAGTCATCAACTTCCGCTCACACAGTGTCGTCTATGACAGCCCCTACATGTTTTACAGAGAGAGAGAGAGAGAGAATAAGGGCAGTAGATGAGAAGATGAAAAAAAAAGAGGGGGAGAACTGTGTAGACTGAAGCATGTGTGGTAAGAAGAGCTCTAGATTGAGTGTCAGAAACTCAACATCTGAGATCCAGTGGGATCACTTCCACTGTGAGTGCAGCCAGGCCCCTTCACCTCTCAGGGTCTCCAGTCCCTCAACTGTAAAACTGGGAAGGGTGCTCCTAAAGAGTCCAGAAACAGATTAAATCTCTCCTTATCTAAAAGGAAAACTTGTAATCCAATCACCAAACATACTGTCTAGTTGCTTTCAATAAGCAGTGACGTTTGCTGTTTTATCACACCAGCGATGATTGGAAAATGATACTCTACATACAAAATACTTACTTCTCTGGCTTCAGTTTTCCTATCACTCGATCTTCCTCTCAATTTGATGTTTCTCTGAAGCCACAAATACTCTAAGTCTTGCCTAGGCTTCAGTCTTAGTCTTGGTGGCGTGTACCCCGCCTTATGGACAAAGGTGGCTTGTCCTGCCCATATGCTCATGTCATTCCATCTGGATATGGGGACAGTGAGGCTGGAATAGGCAAACAGCCATCTAGAGGCAGACCCAGAACTCTCAGTTCTTGCTGTCAACTCAGGTGCTTTCTGCCTAGAGACTCCTGAAGGACTCTACTTACTGAAATCCACAAAATCTACCATCTGAGAGTGTCTTCTTCTGCAGAAAGAGTGCTCAGAACACCAGGAAAATGGCCCCAGTGCCCCCAGGAGCCAAGGTGGAAACATGTCTCCCATTCAGAGATGCAGGGATGCTCAGCCTCCCTCAAAGGATCGCATATGGAGATGTGGGGCTACAGGACTGCAGCAAGCTGGCTTCATCGGGAATTCTATCTTTTAAACCAAAACTCAGGGGAAAGTGCCCAGGAAGAAGAAAGAAGCATCCTCTGGGCCCCTGAGCAGGAGAGTGGGTCACCCAAGGGCATGGGTGCTCAGCAGCAGCAGCCCTGTGGATGGGGGCACTGGGGTGGACACTCTTTTTTTTTTTTTTTTTTTTTTTGGAGACAGAGCCTCACTCTGTCGCCCAGGCTGGACTGCAGTGGCACGATCTTGGCTCACTGCAAGCTCCACCTCCCGGCTTCATGCCATTCTCCCACCTCAGCCACCGAGTAGCTGGGACTACAGGTGCCCGCCACCATGCCCGGCTAATTTTGTTTTTGTATTTTTAGTAGAGATGGGGTTTCACCGTGTTAGCCAGGAGCTCCTGACCTCATGATCCACCCCCCTCGGCCTCCCAAAGTGCTGGGATTACAGGTGTGAGCCACCGCACCTGGCCTGGGGTGGACACTCTTCTAAGCCTTCTAGGATCATCATCTTCTCATGAGACAGGGTTTTCCTGGCACCTCTCGTCTCCCTCCCCTTGCTCACTTGGCTTGCCTCCTCTGGTATTCAGACCACTCCTGCATCCATGGTACCTTCCTATCTGCTGATCATGCAAACAGCCTCCACCTGAGAGCCCAGGGCCAGCACGCCTTCCAGACGCCGTGCAGTTGCTCTTCTTGACTCATAAATCCATCCCTGTCCACTATCGCATAAGAACTCCCTCAGTACCCTTCCCAGATTGCATTCTGCTCCACTGCTTCCCCCACAAGTAACTATTTTTAGGGGATTATCACTCCCATCATGGATTTATCCTTTCCCTTCATATGTATGTGTCCTTAAGACATATGGAATGCTGCTTTGCATATTTTCAAACCAAATAATTGGTCTCATACTGTGGGCATTCTTCTGGAACTTGCTTTGCTCGCTGACATGATGAGATTTATAGGAGATTTATCCATGTTGGTGTGTGTAGCTGTAGCTCACTCACTTTCACAACGGTATAGTGTTTTGTTATTGTAATTCACGTATTCATAAAATAAATACTCCAAGAATAAAACAAGGAATAATTCACCTTTAAAGTTAAAGGGCCTAAAATTAGAATGAAGCAAATAGTAGTTGTCAATCCTTGCTTTATTTTCCCCACTTCCTTGAACCAATTTGATGTCAGGTAATTAGTTTAAATCCTCAGCAAATTCAGTTACGTTCATTTCTGGAGTGATAACTTACAAATAATCCCATGTTTTAAACAACAGAAACAAGTTTTTGTAGTAGAATACAGAAAACTGGACTAATGTCCAGGTCGTAACTGCCCAGTCCTGTAGACTTAATGGTATAACTCACAAGTTTGGGAGAAAAGTGTGGGGATAGGGATTATACATCCATCTAAAGGATATACCAGGATTCAGATATTCTACAAAAGGAACTCTTTACATGAATGGAGCAAATCCATCTGTCTATGATGAAATAGCCCAGTCTGGCACCTTATGTTCATCCTTCCACCTTCAAATGGAAAAGAACAAGTCAACGCTACATAACTCCTTGGTGCCAGGGAGAACAGAGGTTGGCAAGTGAAGAAGTCAAGGCACTAGGATAAACGGGAAAATGGGAGCCACAGAAGAAGCCAACACTTTGAAGACATGGCTGGTCCATCTGTCTTTAAGAGTTGCTTCAAGAAGGAACCAGCTGTCTGATATTGGAGAAAGCAGAATAATAACGTGCACTTAAAATAAAATTATACTAGCAAGTAGTCAGGTCTGGGCCAGGCACGGTGGCTCACGCCTGTAATCCCAGCACTTTGGGAGGCTGAGGTGGGTGGATCACGAGGTCAAGAGATCGAGACCATCCTGGCCAACATGGTGAAATTCTGCATCTACTAAAAATACAAAAATTAGCTGTGCATGGTGATGCACACCTATAGTCCCAGGTACTCGGGAGGCTGAGGCAGGAGAATCGCTTGAACTCGGGAGGTAGAGCTTACAGTGAGCTGAGATGGCGCCACTGCACTCCAGCCTAGGTGATAGAGCAAGACTCCATTTCAAAAAAAAAAAAAGGAAAGAAAAGAAAGAAAGAAAAGAAAGAAGGAAAGAAAGAAAGAAAGAAAGAAAGAAAGAAAGAAAGAAAGAAAGAAAGAAAGAAAGAAAGAAAGAAAGGAAGGAAGGAAGAAAGGAAGAAAGAGAAAGAAAGTCAGGTCTGTTCTGTTTTGCTTATTTCCAAATCATACCCAATGTCTTCCTCCTGTTTTATTGGCTTTTGGAGTTGAGCGCTGAGTATTTCAAATCATTTTGTAAAACTTACCACCAAGGGACAAAGTAACAAAACCTTAAGAAGAAGCACATATTGTTTGTATTCCATAAGACACATGTCTGTAGACACACGTGCAAACTGGACGGATTCAATTCAGCAATGGTATTTAGAGCCTGGGGGAAGGAGGAGTGAAAAAATGGCATTTCAGTTACCCACAATGTATGTCTTTCCTTATTCAAAACTCAGACACGTTTTTCTTTCATGGAAATTCTTTCCTTAACAACTAACCTCACCTGGAATTTATATCCACAGAAACTACCCAAGAGTTTTGAAGATTTACCACTAGCAAACCATAAAGAGGAAGCCATGTCAATATTATTTAATAAGTAAAATCACTATGCGGATATTACTCATTGCTATAGGGGAGTGCTATGGTTTCAATGTGTCCCCAAAGTTAATGTGTTGGAAATCTGATCCCCAATGTGGCAGTGTTAGGAGGTGGGGCCTAATGGGAGGTGTTTGGGTCATGGGGGCACCACCCTCTAGAATGGATTAACGCCGTTACTGTGGGAGGGGGTTCATTAGAAAAGGACAACTTGGCCCCCCCTTGCTTGCTTTCTCTTGCCCTCTCTGCCTTTCCACCTTCTGCCATGGCATGATGCAGCAAGAGGCCTTCTGTTGAGCCAGCCCTTGATCTTGAACTTCCCAGTCTCCAGAATGATGAGGAAATATGTTTCTGCTCTTTATAAATTACCAAATCTATGGTGTTCTGTTATGGCCACAGAAAACAAAGACAGAGACTAGGACAACTGAGTGGGAATCATTTGATCTTGCAGTCTTAGCTCCTGCTTTTAGCTCGAGCTCCACACAGTTCTTTCTCTTGCTACCACCTCTTTCTCTGCCTCCTCCCCTTTTCCCACTGCCACCATAGACACTATTAGAAAATTCCTCAGAGTCTCATTCATGAAATGCATATCCACAGGACTGACACACGGACTGGTTCAGAAGTGATCCAGAAAATAGTGAAACAAACCACAGACATAATCCCAGACTACCCACATAAATGCAGTAGCATGAGAAGGTACTTGAAAGAGGGGAGCCTGGATTTAATCCTATGATCTTCAGCTGAGGCTTTCATTGCCCGGCTGGGTTGCTTCGAACAGGCTACATCGGGCTTGAATATATGTATTCACATTTTCAGGCAGACAATAACTATCACCGGAGTATTGTGGGAACTCACTCCCCTATCACACTCCTTCCCTCACTCTTATCTCCATAGCTCAAAAATGCTAAAACTATAAACTATGATTCAGCGTTCAAAACTTCTGTGGTCCTGTCATAATAACAGAGGGTCAGACACTAGGGGCAAGACAGAAAATCCAATTAATCCTTCCCCCATGGGCAAACAACCTTATCAGATATTTTCCTTTAGCCCTAGCAGAAGTTTTGCATGAGAGATCCCACCTGTCATTTTTTC
The DNA here is from genome assembly GCF_000001405.40 of Homo sapiens. Classification (NCBI taxonomy): domain Eukaryota; kingdom Metazoa; phylum Chordata; class Mammalia; order Primates; family Hominidae; genus Homo; species Homo sapiens. Next base: position 231,885,195 of record NC_000001.11, on the reverse strand, counting down.
GTATGTTTCAGGACAAAATCTCTAAGGCAGCATTTTTATTTTAACTTGGAGGTAAGTTTTATTAAAAATGTCTGTTATGACCAGCTGGTGTCAAACCTCTGGTTTGCTAACTAGACATCAAATGAAGAGGCTGCCTTTCCCTCTGTTTCATGAAAATGAGCATGGTGAACTATTAATAACAACTTCTAAAGCCAGTTGGCCATGGATCAGGTGGAACACGGAAGGACAAAAAATCCTGGGGGAGAGAGAAGAGAGGAGGGGACAAAGGAAAGCCTCTCCTTATATATTCCAGCACTAAATGCATTCTTTCCCCCATCCCAGGTTAATTCCTCCTGTAAAACCGGATCACACAAAGACAGAACTCAGATTATATTCTGGTTTTCTTTTTTTTTTTTTCCATCTTTTATTTTAGGTTCGGAGGTCCATGTATGATTTGTTGTATGGGTAAATTTCATGTCATGAAGGTTTGGTGTAGAGGTTATTTCATCACCCAGGTAACAAGTATAGTGCCCAATGGGTGGTTTTTCAATCCTTACCCTCCTCCCACCCTCCAATCTCAAGTAGGCCCCAGCGTCTATTGTTCTTATACACCCGAAGGAAGATAAATTGTTTCATCATAAAGTCACATGCACGCGTATGTTCATTGCAGCACTATTCACAATAACAAAGACATGAAATCAACCTAAATGCCCATCCATGGGCAGACTGGATAAAGAAAATGTGGTACAAATACACCATGGTATACTACACAGCCACAAAAAAAGAAGGAAATCATTTCCTTTGTAGCAGCATGGATGGAGCTGGAAGCCATTATCCTAAGCAAATTAATGCAGTAACAGAAAACCAAATACTGCACGTTCTCGCTTATAAGTGGGAGCTAAACATTGAGTACACATGGATTTTCTGATTTTCCTGTTATTGTATTTGTTATATTAGCATAACAAATGTTATCAAATACCAACAATGAGTCAGATGCAAAATTGTCCAAAAAAGAGCTGGGTTCTCTCACACTCGGAGGTTGCCACTGCAGAGCAGGTACATCAGTCCCTGGGAACTGCACCATCACCCCGCACTGAGTGGCCGGGTCCCGAGTGTGGAATGCAGCTGCCCCACCCCAAAGGAGATGATTCTTATCTCTCAAAACTTAGATCTTGAATGTGAACTGCCATTCCCCTGCCACCCACCCTGGGCAAGGGACCCTCAGGATTTGTCATGTCAGACCACCAGGCATGTCATTTATTTAGCTGGCCATCTTTGGTTGGCATTCTGACACTTCCTCCACAGTAAGAAGCCCCTCTTACTTCTGAGGGGCTCTCAGGTGAGGCTGGCAGAATTCTAGAATTCACAAGCAAGGTGGCTAACCCTGAACGCATCATGTTTCTCCTGCACCTGATCCTTTTCCTCTATCCTACCCTCAGTCAATTGCACCATCCCCATGTAGTTAGAGAAGCCAGCAAGTGAGACTCATCCTGAAATCCTCATCCTTACCTTGAATTTCTCTCACCAGCTCTCACCAGGCCTCAGGCTCCCTGCCTGTGGCCTCACCTGCCTCTAACCTGCACCCACCTGCCCAGCACAAGTCTGACAATATGACCTCCCACCTTGCTGAGACCAATAGTGGCCCCTTGAGGCCTTCAGGAGAAAGCTCTTTGGCTTGGCACACAGACTCCTCATGTGGGACCCAGCACCTGGCAACTCGATGCCTCCTCTCTGACCTGCCCCACATGGCCACCCACTCACACCAACCTCATCACAAGTCCCTGTGCAACAGCTGGCACTGTTCCTTTCACTAGGCCAGCCCCTCTCCACACCACTACCACTTACCTATAGGAATGTGAGCTCCCGACGGCAAGGGGTTGCTGGGGGGAGGGTTGGGTTTTTTTTGTTCATTGCTGAATTTCCTACACCTAGAACATTTCTAGGTACTTATTAGCAGAAATCTAATTAATATTATAGAGAGAAAGAAGAATGAATGAATGAATGAATGGTTATTCAAGACCCAGATTAAGTATCATTTTTCTCTTGGGAGCATTTCTTGATTCCTCTTATTAATCTCAGCAACCAAATCTGTTGCCCTTCGCTTGCACATCTCTTTCTGCCCACATCAGCAGTGGGCGCCTGTCTCATGGCATCTGTCGCTCTGTGCTAAGGCAGCTCCCGTGTGTCTACAGCACTGAGTGACGAATGAGCCTCTTGGGAGCAGAACCGTCTTATGCTTGTGCTTGTGTTCTCTCCAACCCCCACCCATTCCTTCTTCTCCTACATATCTGATACCAACAACCAGGTGCCCAGCCCTGTATCCTGCGTGTCATAGACATCCCTACAGGCCCATCATTATGCACAGTGATGAACACATAATAGACTGTCCACACATTTCAGGCCATTCCACGTTCACACCTAGATAAGGAAACTTTTGCCCTAGCTAATCACAGCCTGACTTCCAAGGGCAGGTCCAAATGCACACCATCCATTTGGCTCTGTGCTGCAAACCTGACTAGGGACAGTGATTAAACCTTTCTGACCTAAAAACTTGAAAGCCTTTTCATTGCATAGACAGCAAATAAGGTACAAATTACAACATGCAGGTACAGTAGCATGATGCAACATGATACACATTATGTTTCATATCTAATACGTTTTGATTATTCAAACGACACCCAGAGGATTTATGTAAGGAGAAGTGAGACAAAGAGACCAATAAGCGCAGTGTGAAATAAACTGCTGAGGTGTGGGACAGAAAAATCAAACACATTTTCTCTGAAAGATTTCCAAATCTAATTCCTGTCAACTACGTTTCTCCTTTTTTGTGCCTGAATGAATGAGACAGGATTGAGGGGATTCTGGAGATCACCTCATTTGAGGTGACAGAAAACATCGCCGTGTTCCAGCTGAAAGAAGGATGCTTCTTTACCTGGCCGTTTCTCATGGCTCCAGGGAATATTTAGAGATTATCTCTTCCCTTGCTATAGGGACCCTGACTACCAGTGCTGCAAATAAATCAGCCTGAGATGGCAAGAATAGTGCATTCACCCAAAAGTTAGCCGTTAACAATCGCTATGCCCATATTTACTCTGTCTAGCTAATCTGTGCCCGCAAAGCCTGAAAGAAGAGCCAAGTCCTCCTGTGGCCGCTGTGCCCTGGGCCCACAGCAGGGAGGAGTGGAGATGGGCTGGCAAGCCTGGGCGCAGACCCTGAGTCTCTACCGACCAAGCATGTGACCTCAAGCAAGTTCCCTTATGCTCCCGCGTCTCAGATGCTCATCAATGAAGCAGAGTGGAAAATCAGACCTGTGCAGGCTGTTGTAAGGGCTAGCTGTGAACTTGCAAGGACATGGCACACAGTGAATGAGAGTGATGATTATTGTCATGTTCTTGCTTCAAAATTTCTGGGTGTTCAGAAGCCTCGTGTGATGAGAACATTTCACTGGCTCTGGAAACTTTGACTGATCGGCATAGTTTCCAGAATGAGACACGAAATGGGCACTAGTTAGAGTCACCTGCCCCAGTGCATGGTGAAGGAAGAGGAAGTGCTCGTCTTGAAGCGGGACCCTGGCTGGGAGTGTGGATGGGTTGAATTATGTGCCCCCCTCCATAAAAGGTCTGTTGGAGACCTTAACCCCTGGGACCTCAGAATGGGAACTTATTTGGGGATAGGGTCTTTACAGAGGTAATCAGAGTTCAAACAGGATCATTAGAGTGGGCCCTAATCCAATATGACTGGGTTCTAATAAAAAGGAGAAATTTGGACACTAATACAGATACAGAGGGAAGACCATGAGAAGAGACAGAGGGAGAAGACGGCCACCTACAAGCCAAGGAGAGAAGCCTGGAACAGATCCTTCCCTAGAGCTCTGCAATCTTGCCATCGCCTTGGTCTCAGACTTCTAACCTCCACGACAGTGCAACAATGCGTGTCTGTTCTTTAAGCCACCCGGTTTGTGGTCTTTGGTTATGGCAGCTCAAGCAGACCAATGCAGAGGCCCTGTTGCCAGGGAAAGTCCACTCTTGGTGACTGTGGTGCCCTGCAGCAGAGAACAAGGTATCTCTCTTCTCTTGCCCACAGCATGGTGTTGAAACCATCCCTATAAACTTTTTTTAAATAAAATTCGTCAGGGAAGAAAGAGAGGGGAGAAAGGAAAATAAACCCAGCTTGCAGCACACTCGGCGCTAATCATGAGGCCAGCCTGGGCTCCAACCCCTTCCTCAGAGTTGTTTGCTGCCTACTGTCTTGGAATCACATAGACCCTAGATCACAGTTCCCCTTAACTGCTCTATTGATAACACCTTGAACATCATGAAACGTTAAGTTTTTCCTATGAGATATTCCTTCAGGTCCTGCATTCTGAGGGAATGGCTGACTCAGCTGGTCTGAGGGATCCCTTAGGAGCTGACCCACCCAAGAATACAGTTTCCACATCCCGATGATTTCACCCCCCCCCCACCTTGCCTTGCTCTCCATGATCCCCTTAAAAACTCCAACCCAGAACAACTTGGGAAGATGGATTGGAGGGTCTCCTCCCCTCTCTACTTGGTGCCCACTGACCTTTAACTCTTTTTCTGCTGCAAATCCTGCTGTCTCCATGTAATGGGTCTATTACTGTGCAGTGGGCATACGAACCTGTCGGTCCTATAACAGTGTTATCATCTCTGCCCTACAAATAAACACATGCCTAAGAAGCTTTAACTTGAAATAAAATCAAGAGCAAAAATTTTTTAAATATTCAAACTTTAATTTGAATAACTGCTCTCAAACTAAGAAATAACAAAATGAGACATTCTTCTCACTACTCTCAACCCAGGTGACATTTCCTCATTGCCTTAGTCTGGTTTTTATTGCTATAACAGAATACCTGAAACTGAGTAATTTATAAAGAAAAGGAATTTATTTCCTACAGTTACAGAGATTGAAAAGTCCAAGGTCGAGGGGCAGCATCTGGTGAGAGCCTTCTTGCTGTTGGGGACACTGTAGAGTCTCAAGGTAGCACATGGTGAGAGGGCTGAGCATGCTAATATACTACATACAGGTCTCTCTTCCTATTATAAAACCACCAGTCCCGCTTACAGGATAACCCATTAGCTCATTATTTCATGAATAGATTAATCCACTCATAAAAGCAAAGCACTCATGATCCAACCACCTCTTATAGGCCCCAGCTCTCAATACTGCCACATTGGGGATTAAATTTCAACATGAGTTTTGGAAGGCACAAACATTCAAACCATAGTACTCACCCATATTGCTATAATGACTCTCCAGTTTGCATGTCCATTGGGACTTCACTCTGAGTCCAGACCTCTGTATCTAATTGCTTCCTTGATTCCCACTTGGACATAGCTAATGCACCTCAAATTATGTACTCTTAATGCACTAGAATTATGATCCACACCTCCCCATCTCTGATCCATCTCCAGAGTTCAAACACTACCATCTAACCAATCATAGACCACCCATCTGTTTCCTGCCTATGTCTTGAACAGGGTCATTCTTGTCACCTCTCCCCTCTCCTGCCCACCATGCCCCCCACCCAAAACATTCCCTGAGCCCATCAGCCATTTCCCCACCCATCTCTCCTGGGTCCATGTACTTCTTTCCATCCTGGCCTTTCCCTGTCTTCTGCTTGCCTGACCTACCATCACAGCCCCCACAGGTCCTTCCAGGCACTCCTGCCTCTTTAGCCCATTCTGCTCACAGGAGGCCATATGGTCTTTGAAAAGCACAGATCTGATCACATCACTGGCTATAGCAAACCTTTTAAGGGAGCTCTCATGCATTGCTGGTGGGAGTACAAATTGAAATGGCCACTTTGTAAAACTGCTTGGCAGGATCCATTAGTGCTGAACATATGTATACCTTAAGTCCCAGAAATTCCACTCTTAGAAAAACACCGAAGATCAGGTGAAATAGAATCAACAAGTAGCTCATAGTACAGTCTGAGCATCCCTAATCTCAAAATCTGAAACGTTCCAAAATTTGAAACTTTTTGAACACTGACATGACGCTCAAAGGAAATGCTAATTGGAGCATTTCACGTTTCAGATTTTCAGATTAGGAATGCTGAACAAGTAAGTATCATATAAATATTTCAAAATCTGAAAAAAAAAAAAATCGGAAACACTCCTGATCCCAAGCATTTCAGATAAGGGATACTCAACCTGTAGTACTGTTCCAAACAGCCAGACACTACCCAAATGTCCACAACAGCAAAACTGATAATTAAATCATGGTCTATTCACACAGTGATTTATGGCTATAAGTAGCAATCTGGATGAGTCTCATGTTGTTGAGTGAAAGAAGCCAGGCACAGAGAATAAATATGGTATGACTCCCTTTATATAAAGTTTCTAAATGGTCAAAATTAACCTAGTGTTGTTACCAGTCAGGATAGGGTTGCCTTTGGAACATGCTGAGGACTTGGAAGGGCTAAGGGTGACTTTTGGGGGGTTAATAATGTTCTGCTTGTTGATTTGGTACTGGTTGCTTGATGTGTTCACAATGAAATTCACCCAGCTCACCCCTATGGGTGCTTTCTTGCATGCATATTACACTCCAGTAAAAAAGGCATTTAAAAAAAATGACAATGACATTGACAACTTTCCATTGCCCTTTATATAAAGATGAAAGTCCTTCACTTGCTTCAAGAACCTGCTTAGTCTGGTTCCTGCCTGTGTCTTGAACCCAGGGCTACCCCTCTCAGCTCCCCATCTCTGCTGACCTCACTGGTCTTTTCTCCATCCCTTGAAGCCAGCAACCCCCTGCGGCCTTGCAGTCTTTGCACAGGTTGCTTGTTCAGAGGGTCTGGTGCTCTTTTCTCCCCATCTGTTACTATTGTCCCTCAGATCTGAACTTGTCACTTCCTCAGGGCGGTCTCTCTGTGCCCTGCCCCTAGCCTGGTCAGGTGCCCCATTTCACACTCTTGTACCTTCCTTCATGTCACTTGTCACAATTTATAATTGCCTGTCTGTGTCTTTGTTTTAAGTTTTCCTCTCCAACTAGACTATGGGCCATGCAGTCAGAGTGCCTATCTGTCTTGTTCATCACTGTATCTGCAGCACCGAGCCCAGCACCTGCCTGATAGAATATGCTTAATAAATATTAATAAAAGAATGAACTGTTTTAAGGTATCAGTGTCATTTCTTTGCATCAGACATTTCAAAAGACTATTTTCTGAAGTTAAGAAGTTTGATTCTTAATGTTTAATTCCTTTCTGCTGCAATTTGAGTTCATTTGTCTTCATCTTGCCCTCAGTGAATATGAATTGAGATACTTACCACTCAATTTCCATTTACCATGCACTCATTTTATATCTTTGAATTTAGCTATTAAGTCATTTTTTATTTTCATCTGTTCAGTCGAAATAAGCTGATTCCATGCACATCAGTCATGCATTCCTATTCTTCAGTTGTGTTTTTTGTTTTAAATGTAAATGCAACCATGCAAAGTTACATGGAGGAAAAAAACTGATCTGAACATATATGTTCCACCAATAGGCTGATAGTGGGCAGCTGTACCATACAGTCTCATAGAGTATACCTAAAATAACATTAATACCTAACATCCACTGAACACCAATGGGAAGAGGAACCAGAAATTCATGGTATTCAAGTATTGCGTTGAAAGCTGGTTAGTAAGAACCAGAAATAGGACTTGAATGCAAGCAGCCTAACTTGAGTACCTTAACCTTTACTTGGTGGGATTACATCAATACTTATTTTTTCCCTCTGCCAACAAGATAAAAATACAAAATTCTGAATGCGTGTATCTTGACTTTTCTTTAAACAGTAAAGGAGGTAAGTTATAGTCCCATTGTACATTGAATTTAGCCATTACACTTATGTTGATTCACTAGTACAACATGACCTTTTTCTCTTGGTGCTCAAAACCGTAACAGTGCTTGTCAATAACCTATGTCAGGAATATACAACAAAGATGTCTGTGAACATCCAGTAAATTTTCCTGGCTGTACAAGGTTGGTCTCTGCAGTAAGAAGGTGGGCTCATGTGAGCCACCCCTGAGAATGGTAGGTGTCACAGAGCTCTTGATAAGAAATGGGTCCTTATATTAAACTAAATCTTCCCCTTCTAATTTTTAGTTCTTTACTTGTTGGGGAGATTTCCTTGTGACTGCTGACTTGACCCACTGATCATGTAACCCCAGTCTGCTCTCCGCTCTCCCTCCAGAGTGGCCCTTTGGATGGCTATGATATCAGTACTCTTCTGTGGCTCCCATCAGGCCTGTCTCCACCCAGGTGGAACCATTTAGCAGTGGGCACCCTGTACACACCCTGCCCATTACCCTAAGCCTTTGCTTTACCATTAACAATGAGGGTGGGAAGCAAAGAAAGGTGGGAGGGACAAAGTAAATCCACACACCTGTCACTGAGGCAGCAGCAGAAAAGAATCAGTCATGATTACTCCAGCTGTAGCCTGCCCACCTCTGTTGTGGCTTCAGAGACAGCCTGCTATGGCCCCTGAAAACCATAAACCCTCTTGAAACTCATTTGCAGCACTGAATTCTAGGATTCAGGAATGCTAAAACGTGTGGAGTGTTCAGACACAAAGCTTTAAAACCCAGATTGCAACTATCACGGGTCAGTGGCAATTACACCATTTCTACAAAAGGCAAGCTTGCTCTGTAGGCTGCAGCCACTGTTGCTACATCTTGCTATGAACTTAAGATGTTAAAAGACATATGAGATGGGAAGGTGTATTAAGCCATCCTTGCATTGCTATAAAGAAATACATGAGGCTGGGTAATGTATTAAAAAGAGAGGTTTAATTGGTTTATTGTTCTGCAGGCTTTACAGTCAGCATGAGGCTGGCATCTCCTTGGTTTCTGGGGAGGCCTCAGGAAGCTTACATTCATGGCAGAAGGCAAAAAGAGGCCAGGCACATCACATGACAAAAGCAGGAGCAAGAGAGCAAGCGGGGAGGTGCCACACACTGTTAAATGACCAGATCTCATGAGAACTCACTATCGTGAGGACAGTACAATGCGGGGGATAGTGCTAAACTATTCATGAAGGATCCACCCTCATGATCCAACCACTTCCCCCCAGGTCCCTACCTCCAACACTGAAGATTACATTTCAACATGAGATTTGGGCAGGGACACACATCCCAAGTATATCAGAGGGGGTCCTTCAGAGTGTCCTTGCTGTATTTTGGGGCTCTCGGGCCTTTTCAGCCCACATTTATCAGTCATTTCCAAATAGAAACTAGTTCAAGAGCATTCCTAGGAAGCTGAGTTAATGGGCTACACCATGGCCCCATTAGCCAACGTGTCCTCGCCATTCACATACCTTCTGGTACAGTTTGCTTTATGCTTTTTCCCTCTTTTGTCCTCTTTATTTGTGGCCCCAATTCCCAAGCCAAACTGTGTGGGGGAATTGTGAATGATCTAAGTTGTCCATTATAGACCTTAGGAGAAAGTTGGAAGGAAGGAGAAGAGCAAAGCCAAGCCACACCTGCTGTCACCAGACAGGAGAGTGAAAATGACCATGGAGCCTTGTACTTGGTAATTCAGAGGGAGTACAGTTTAGTTCCTTCAAACTAATATGTTTAAGTAATGACAGACCTAGATGTGTTAGAGGGAAATTTATAGATCATCTCAACTCTTTTTCTCATTTACAGATGAGAAAACAGTGAGGTCAAGGCCAGGGAAGTGAGGTCAAGGCCAGGGAAGTGAATTGCCCAAGTACCCAAGGGGTGGTCAATACTGCTCATGATTTCAAACCTTGGTAGGCAGCTGGCCATCCTTACAGCAGCAGACATTGCCAGAGCGCCCAGGCAGCAGGATGAGGAGCCCCTGGCTGTCTAACACTCGGCTGACAAGTGGCCTTCACTCACCAGGGCCGGGGGCTGGTGGCTCATGTCCCCTTACTCAGCTGACAGGTGGCCTTCACTCACCAGGGCTGGGGGCTGGTGGCTCACATCCCCACAGGTTCAGCTGCAGAGTCTTCTCCTCTCCCCATCACTGACCATAGCATCCTGGATCATCTACTCCAAACATTACAGCTTAATAAAAATTCAGCTTGCCACAGACAGGGCAGATTTTACAAAGATAGAGATTGATTTTTCTATCAATGTTGATATCCATGGGTTGGACAAGTGAGAGGACAGCATAAGGTTGGCAGAGAACCAGATGGCCACATCCTGATGATGCTCTGCCTGGATCCTGAGGGCTTACGATGTCTCCACCCTAGTTTCTGATGGAGATTTTTTTCATGTCTTCATTGGTATCTCACTTAATGCTATGGTATTCTTTTTTTTTTTTTTTTTTTGAGACGGAGTCTCACTCTGTCACCCAGGCTAGAGCTGGAGTGTAGTGGCGCGATCTCGGCTCACTGCAAGCTCCGCCTCTCCAGTTCACGCCATTCTCCTGCCTCAGCCTCCCGAGTAGCTGGGATTACAGGCACCCGCCACCACGCCTGGCTAATTTTTTGTATTTTTGGTAGATACGGGGTTTCACCATGTTAACCAGGATGGTCTCGATCTCCTGACCTCGTGATCCGCCCACCTCGGCCTCCCAAAGTGCTGGGATTACAGGCGTGAGCCACCACGCCCAGCCTGGTATTCTTAATAATTCAGATGGTTAATACAGGGTTAAATTGTTTTATCGTTTTGAAGCACAGGACTATGAAAACAAGTGTTTTTGAATGGAAGGGACAAAAATCAATGAGAGTGAGTTAGGAAGTCTTTGGCCAGGCCATGTGTTTGAACATCACTATTTAAGAATATTGGCTGGGCGCGGTGGCTCACACCTATAATCTCAGCATTTTGAGAGGCCGAGGTGGGCAGATCAGGAGGTCAAGAGATCGAGACCACCCTGGCCAACATGGTGAAACCCCATCTTTACTAAAAAATAAAAATAAAATAGTTGGGCGTGGTGGTGTGCGCCTGTAGTCCCAGCTACTCGGGGGACTGAGGCAGGAGAATCGCTTGAACCCAGGAGGCAGAGGTTTCAGTGAGCCAAGAACGTGCCACTGCACTCCAGCCTGGTGACAGAGTGAGACTTTTTCTCAAAAATAAAAAATAAAAGATTATTTAAGGCCAGACACGGTAGCTCACACCTGTAATCCCAGCACTTTGGGAGGCCGACAGGCAGGTGGATCACCTAAGGTTAGGAGTTCAAGACAAGCCTGGCCAACATAGTGAAACTCCATCTCTACCAAAAATAAAAAAAATAGCTGGGCGTGGTGGTGCATGCCTGTAGTCCCAGCTACTCAGAGGCCGAGGCAGGAGAGTTGCTTGAACCTGGGAGGCAGAGGTTGCAGTGAGCCAAGATCACACCACTGCACTTCAGCATTCAGCCTGGGCAATAGAGAAAGACTCTGTCTCAAAAAAAAAAATTATTTAAGATGCCCTCTTCCAATGATAGAAGTCATAATTTGGGGATTCCAATTACATTTTCCACACAGAACCCCTCTGACAACTTTCTCTTCTTAGAGTCAGTCTCCCATGGCAGTGAAGATCCATGTGTTTTGCAGTTCCTTGGCTCTGCGGGAATGATCTAATTATGAGGTTGAACCCGTTTTCCTTGATAGCTGGAAATTTGTCATCTGCATTTTCCTTAAGGATATTCCTAACCTGCCTTCTCATTAGTAAACTTGTCCTTACAATTCCTAAACCCTCCCAACTCATTTCCTCCTGTGAGTGCACCACCAGATTTTATAAGTACTCTATTCACTTTGGTTTTCAAATCACTAATTGGTCCCTTGTAGAAGACCCAATGCTATGGAATGCAGGGGAGGGACACAGGAAGGGGCGCTAGTCAAAGGACATCATAGAAAGGGGCTGAAACACAAGTCTTTTGACTGCTATCAGGCTGAAGTCCGCTTTGCTTCTGATCTGCAGCCCTACTATAAATCGATGACCTCTTCTTGGCTTTGAAATGGAGATTAGTAGCCTTGCATGATCCTCTTGTGCCTCTCTTACCGGGGCACTAATGGGAAAGACTCCCAAATCTTTCATAGTGACTCAATATCAGATAATGGGTTTGTTCTTCCCAAGGTCTCCTTAACATGGCCACTTTACAGCGGAAGTTCTTGTCGGAAATCTGAGTGCAGAGTCGGTGCTTGTGAGATTAGGCCCTGGAGGTGAAGGCCCTTGCAGGGCTGCACAGAAAGGACATCAGGCCTCCCACCATCTTCTTCCACAGCAATGTCTTCTTCATGGAATAGACAAACTCCTGACGGATGCCTGGAATACATCTTTATATGCAGTAGTGGGAAGCTACATGCAACCAGAGATTATTTCAGAATGTAAAAGGAAAAATTAAAACTGAAAATGTATGTCAAAGCCAATTTCTTAAATAATTGCTTATCTGGGGTAAAAGGAACCTGCCTCTGAAATATGCACTTATCTTGAAAACAGGCAGGCACCCCAACAATAGATCATGTATGGAAAATGAGTTGGGTGGATGAGTAATTTAACGAGAATTTTCTTCAACTGGTTTCCAAAGCATTGTGAAGACTGTGTGCCTGTCATCTGGATTGGTTTAAAATAAAACTCAGTTGATTTTTTTTTTTTAAGAACAGATGGAAAGAGGGACACAAAGGCAAACAGTATGCAAACAACAGCAGAATTTCAAACAGGAGTGGGTAAAGAAATGGAAAATAAACAGAAGTCTAGGAAACAGCTACAACTTCAGCCCTAGAAAGGCATTTTCCAATCTATGATGTAGACACTTTAAAGCTGAATCATCTCTGTGACTCCATCTGCAGCCAAAGCATCAGACTGTGGGGTCTTTTAGGGACCTAGAGAGTGCAGGTATCACTAGATCAGGGTCAAACTTTCAGGAGCATTTGGTTTCATTAAATCAATAAAAGGAGTTAGGAGTAATAAGAAAGTTTTCAAGCAAATGGAGAGAAATAACCTTACAAAAGAACCACATGACACATACATTTTTTTTCATTACTAAGATGGGAGATTAAAAAAACAAAGAATGAAAGAAAGCCAATGTTGAAGAGACTGAAGTACTTACATAATTCAATAGGGTAAGTGATCAAGTACTAAAGTGAAAGTTCTCATTTTTGAGATATAGGTATTGATCTGCTCACACAATCACATCCCCACGCCTTGCATGCATCAGGCTGTCTTCACGCTGTTCACCGACTGAAGGCTTCCTGCCACTGCCCACAGAACTGTCCCAGTGCACGGCTGAGGGCCTCTGCCTGGCAGAGTCCCCAAGAGAAAGCCAGAGGAAGTCCAGGTGTCCACTGTGGTACAGAGATGGGACTCTCCAGTCTCTGAAGGTGAATCTAGCGCACACAGTCCATGGCTCTCCTTTGAATTATGACAGGTGAGACACAGACCAGAAAGAGTTGTTGGGAAATGTCACATGCAGGATCTGGCCAGGGTGCCACCAAGCTGCCCTGGAAACAATTCAGAGCTGGTCTCACCACCCCTGACCCCACATGCCACACATACCACACGCATGCACCCCAAAGGCAAATTCAAACATTATAGAGACCCAGAGACTGCTGGAAAATCACACTCTCCACAGTCAGGCACACATGAGAGGCCGCGATTTAGGGTGGCCTGACTTCCTTTAAGACAGAAGACAAAGAGGCGGAGATTAACACATGGTTGGCTAACTATGGTAGAACCTGCTAAGAGGGTTGTCTATATTTGAACTTCAGGAATAAAAGCCACCAGCTACAGATCGTTTGAATTCAACTGCACTTCCACATCAACGACACAATTCTAGTCAAAGAGAGAACCCACTTAGCACTATGGGCAGAAGAGCGTGTGGCTGTGTTCACTGTTGGTGCCATCCAAGGAAATGTATTAATTAAAGTAAGGATAATTGTGATTCTTCCCCAAACCACCTCCCTATCCTTCTCCCTCTGCCCAGAGTGGGTCCCCTTCCCCAGAACCTTCTATTCTCTCTTCCCACATTAGGTGCTGCCCTCGGAACCTGCCTACACTCTGAGGAGAGAATGGCGACTAATAGGCAATGCTCTGCAAAGTATATATGCATTTGTAGCCTAGTCCAAAAGGAGTCTGTGACTCTAGACTTTCCAGCACCAACCAACAAGAAAGGGAACATCACAAGGCCCTGGGCTCGCTGCATCAATGAGTGCAGTCAGCTTTGAAGCTCCTTTGAGAAGTGGAGACCCGCACACAGTATCTGCCCTATTCCACACAGGTCCAGCCCCCACCACATCCCCAACAGTGCACCCCCAATAGCTGTAAGAAGAAAAATGCGGGTACATATTACAAAACTGAGATTCCCATTTATTCTCAGAAAGTGCATTACTAGAGCAAAATTAAAGTCATGATCGTTTGAAAATCAGATAAGTTTGAAGAAAATATTTATTCTTTAAAATATAATCTAAATTACTTTTTAAATTAAGTCATTTCACCAGGCATATCTCAGTTTGTGGAGGAAATGACAACAGCATAATAATTTTGGAAGGAAAAACTAATGGCTAATCTCTAAAAACAGAGTTTGTAATAGGTTAATAGGCTGGCAATAGTGAAGATATGTCTATCATTCTCGTTTGTCCTCTTGACCATGTTTTGAGGGCTTTTTGGGGGGCTGTCAATCTCCCAAGCCCCAAACATGCCACAGTTCGTGCTGCACTGATCAAGCTGAAGCCTTATGGAAACTGATGGAGCCACAGATGGGCAGCACACCCTGCTCCAGCCGCCTTCCCACAACGAGCTCAGGATAACACCAACAGACAGCTCGGGCCGCTCAGAGACGTAGGTCACAGAAGCCAGCACACTCTGGCCAACTACTTAGCACAAGCTGCAAATCTATTACACCTGAGATCTTTGGATGCATTATAGGGAAAAGAGGGGAAGACAGGTATCTCTAATTAGAACCTTTTGCCTAGCTCATCTAAGAAAGGACTTTAAATTGTAGTGGTCCATCACTGTTTTATTAATTGGATGCCCATGGGGCTCCATGCACTTATCACACTGGCCCTTATCTTACCTTCTTACTAAATAGAGCACACTGGCCTTTGCCTCTTGGTGTCCTGCCTGGGAGTGATGTTCCCATATCAGGAGCTTCCCCTGATGATCCCAGGCAAAATGGTGGCCAAGTGTTCAAACCTCATCTTCTGAGCCTTCCTCACTCTCCCTTTCTTATATCCTGCCCCACCCTAAGAACTGACCTGTCTCTAGGACCCCCGTACTCTCAGATCTCCTATAACCACTGCTTACAGGCTCAAGTAGTGCCCCCAGAGGTAGTCCCTTTGCTAGCTTTTTCCTATTTAAAGTTCAGCTTTGTGTTCTGTTTTTCATACACGGGCTCTCCCCAGGTCTAAAGGATAGTAAGAATTTTATCTAGAAAAAAATATGACTGCTGAATAAGGCAAGACCCCTCTCAGGAACCAAGGCCCAAACAATTTCATCTCAAGATCATCACAAAGAGACTCTGCTATGGTTTAGATACTTGGCCCCTCCAAAGCTAAAGTTAAGATTTGCTCCCCAATGTTTAAGGTGGAGCCCAATGGGCAGTGTTTGAGGCATAGGTGCAGGTCACCCTTGAACAGATTAATACTCTCCCTCGGGGGTGAATGAATTCTCACTCTATTAGTTCCCCTAGAGAGCCTGGCACCTCCTCCTCTTTCTTGCTTCCTCTCTGGCCAGAGATCACATGGCCAGAGAGGAAGCAAGAGAGAGAGGCCCTCACCAGATGCAGATGCCAGTGTCATGCTTCTTGTACAGCCTGCAGAACCATGAACCAAATGAACTTCTTTTCTTTATAAATTCCCCAGCCACAATTATTCCATTATAGCAACACAAAATGGACTAAGACGCTATTCATTAAGTGGAAATGGATCATCATAAAGGTCTTCATCTTTGACATCTCTAACACAGGCCTGACTTATATTTTTGTTGAGGGCCATTTTTACTTTTTGCACTTCACACTCAAGACAACCAGCAAGTCTGTTCCTGAGTTAAGTGTCTGTAAAGACAAGACAGACTCCCCGGTGGTTGTATATCTTTCAGGCATATTCTTCTCCCAAACCCAACCATCTTCTTCCTTCACCACTTTTCATTCACTCATTCATTCATTCACTCATTCATTCAAGCAAGCTGATATGTTTGACATGCTGATATGTAGTCTGTGTCCCAGACTAAATGTCTTCAAGATCAGCACTCTCTATCAACCTTCTGAAGCTTCTCATTATGGGTCCAGCAACGTGGCTTCTTCCTCGCATTTAGGGCAGCAGGGTGGGGGACAGTACATACCCCTGCTCTTGTCCTGATTATTATTACCCCATGATTGCATTTCCCCATTGCTCCTCTCAAAAATGTATAACCGGTAACTCTTTTTTTTTTTTTTTCCTTTTTAGAGACAGGGTCTTACTCTGTCACACAAGCTGGAGTGCAGTGGCACAATGACAGCACACTGAAGCCTCAAACTCCTGAGCTTGAGCAATCCGCCTGCCTTAGCCTCCTGAGTGACCAGGACTATGGTTGCTTACCATCATGCCCAGCTAAATATATATATATATATATATATATATATATATATATATATATAAGAGATGGGGTCTTGCTATGTTGCCCAGCCTGGTCTTGAACTCCTAGCCTCAAGTGATCCCCACGTCAGCCTCCCAAAGTGTTGGGATTATGGATGTGAGCCACTGCGCCTGGTTTGCTGACTCTTTCTAAAGGCCCTAGATTTCATTTCATGTTATCATCTTCTTCACCTCTCTCACAAAGAGAAAAAAAATAAGGTTTGATTAGGCTGCCAGCTGTTTTGAGGATGCATAGTTAAAGGCTGGTCTAAGCACATCCCAGGACTGGAAACTTCCATGACAATGGCCTTGAAGCTCAGTATTGCCTAGCAAAACCACCGGCAAACCCTTGAGAAGGAATAAAGAAAGAGATGAAAAATAAAGGAAAACGATGAAAGAGGGAAAGAGGAGTTAAGGACAGAGTGGAAAAGGGGAGGGAAAATACGGACTAAGAGTGAAAACTGGAGACAAGATAGGAAAGCAGAATCTCTTCTGACCTAAAAAGGGGAGAACGGAGGGTTTGGGGCAGGTGCTACCGAGCACTCTCCTTTGCCCACCTGAGAATGCCAGCCACATGCATGTGACTTCTTCTCAAAAGCAGAAACAACTGTTTATTTTTTTATGCCTCTGAGTGGGAGTGTCCTTGAGGTTTTGTTTTTTCTTGTCCCCCAGCCAGCTAAGCAGGAGCTTTAAAACACACTCAATGCCAAAGCACACTTATTGCAATACAAATGGAAGATTAGCAGAGGAATGCTAAGGGGACAGTGGCAGCTTTTTTCTCTCCCTTGCGAATAGCCAGGTTTGAAGTGCTCTGCTCACCTTCTACAGATAGTCTTAACCAAGCTGATGATTCAGGCTTGGTGGATTAAAAAGACTGTGTCCTTTCATTAAGCCATACATAGTGCTCCAACTGTTTCCTAACCAGGGTTTCCAGTTCTTCAGTTTGTAATCATTTGCAAGGACTTAAAACTTTTCTTTCTAAACAAATCTAACTGTATGGGAAGATCTATCAACAACAGGAGAGGAAAACTGCTGACTTATGGGTAACACGACAATAACAAATGGGCCACAGGGCTGTGTGCCCAAGACTCATCTTTTTTTTTAAAGCTTGAAAATGAATTCCTCCTGTCTTGCACACTCAGGAGGGTTTACTAGCAGCCTAATTAATTAAGAGCATCTATGTATCTGATGGGGATGCTCCCATGGCTGGAACAGGCGCTCTCTGCTCCTCCTGGGTACCTCACTATTCCCTCTATTATTATTATTTTTTAAACACAGTTCCAAACCACTTTTTACAGCCTCCAGGGTCTAGCTACGGGAAACCTTCCACGAATCAGCCCCAGTTCTTCTATGCTGCCTATTCTCATCTGAAGCAAAAGAGGTACATCCGTTGCATGCTAAACAATTACTTTCTTTAAATCTTTCTCATTTCCGATCACATGGAATGGCAGTGTGATAGCTAACCAGACATGTGAATAAGTCATGGAAGATTTTTTTAAAGCAGATTTAAATAAAATATCCCTCATTATGGTGCTTAATTCCATCTACTGCTAAGAAGACAGCCATCTGGAGAATACCAGCAAGGTGGGTATTAAGGAGGCATGCGCACCCCATAACGTAACACTGAAGCAGAGGTTTGACGCCAGGCCTCAAGAAGACTGGTGATGCTATCAAGAAGGAATGTAATTGTGTTGATTTATGTGTTATTTTTATTCTGTATTTTAAAGGCATGAAGACTGGCTATCCCGAGGTGATAAATGAGGTCTTAGAAATGGCATCTTTCTTTTGAAGTTTGTCCCACGAAGTTGTACCCTCCTGCGGCAGAGGATGAGCAGACGGTAAGCTTTGCCACAGCGCCCTCTTGTGTTCAGAGAACCGCAATGACAACATTTCCTCGTATTAAGAAACTATCATGACTTTAATTACAGATTAATTATACCCTTTCGTCAAGGTTGAAAGAAGAATCCATACAAAGCACGACGACTAGAAAGTCGAAGACATGCTTTCTTTTCTTTTTTTCTTTTTATTGTGACATCATGTCTCTTCAATGCCCTTTCAATTAATAGTAGTTGAGCGCTGGGGGCTGAAGTCAGACTCTCTGGGTTCAAATCACAGTGCTGTGTCCTGCAGGCTGTCCTCAGGCAAGTTGCTGACTTCTCTGTGTCCAGGACTCTGCATCACAGTACTTATATCCTAAGGTAGTAGTGAACATTAAATATTAAGGACTTCGAAAGTGCCTGGAGCCTTGTAATAAGTGTTAGCTGTTGGTCATTATCATTGATGTTATTTTTTTTAATAAATCAAAGAATTGTTACATTTCTGCTTGAAGTGACTTCAGAGATAATTAAATCCAAGTTTTTCATTTTGTAGATGAGAAATCTCTGGTCCAAAGGAGCAAAGTGAACTGCCTACAGTTGCCTAATTAGTCAATGGCAGAGCTGAAACTGGAATTTAAATCTTCTGGTTCTCTAGGGCCCGGGTTTCTGTCTTTTCTGGAGAACAGCTCCCATAGGAAGCTCTTTTTGCTCTGCACGTGCAGGGGGTAGACTTGCAGGAACTTCATGCAGGGCCCTGGGGGGATGTGGGCCACTATGGGAAAGGCACTGAGCCACACACACACACCAGGCTCAGAGGTCTGGACACAGGAGTAATGAGTTGAGTAATCCCTGTCCTTTTTTGCCATGACAATGAGATCGATAATCCAAGACTTACAGAACTGGATGATGTGAACTATAGTCTGCCTAGAAATATTGGTCTTAACCACTTTCAGGAAGACTAAAATGACCACACACATATACAAAAAAGTCTAATGCTTGTAAATCTGTTTTTAGAGTACCAGATTCCTAAGCTGCCATATCTTCTGAGATAATATCCAACTCCAAAGCTGAGCTTCCAAGAGGGCCTTGTATGAATATGGAACTAAGAGGCACACTGGCTGCAGACCTGACTTCTCTCATGTACTGTTTCTGTTCATTTTCTTTTTAAAGAAAATATCGTATCACAAAAGGACAAATGTCATGTGATTCCACTTATATGAGGCACCTAAAGTAGTCAAATTCAGAGACAGAAAGTATAACAGAGGTTGCCAGAGGCTGGGGGAAGGGAGAATGAGAAGTTATTATTTAATGGGTGTGGCCAATATTGCCAAGGAAATAGACGTCAGTCTACAGATCAGTTAGTGTTTACATTTTCAAAATTCAACCTAATGTTTATTAGGCTAAAGATTATGTTATCTTGAATTAAGACTCATAATACAACAAAGGTTTAGCCTCCCATCCTGGGTGAACCTCTGGGATTTCTTAACCTCCTTTTGATTTTCTGGCATCACTGAAAGCCGACATATAAACAAACCAGTGTAACACAATCACTGCCCAATGTATTGGTGGTCTTTGGCAAACATGAAGAGTGGGCATTAACGAATGATACTAGACAGTTCTCTTCCCCTGCAAAGACATGTGGACTTCAAATAGGAAACATCAGCATACAGCAATTGTCAGACTCCCAGGTCAGCATGTTTGTTTGGAAAGAGCTCTAGAGTGAAGACCGAAAGACAGGGTTCTGGCTCCAGCTCACCTACACACTTGTCGGACCTCGGCAAATGGAGTGAGTTCTCTGGGCCTTTGCTTGCTCCTCTCTAAAACAGGGACTCAATAGGTGATCTCTAAAGTCCTTCCGTGATCATTCTGTGACCTGGGCCCAATACCGCTCCAGGTCTACCACAGCCGTGGTGTGGAGTGCTATTCATAACTACATAACTGAGAAACTTTCAAAGGAGATTTAATTGTACTAAGACTACCATGCAACCAAATAAAATAATTAGACTGCTACTTTCTCCTTCTGGAGTAATCTGATATTCAGGATGAGAGATTTAACATAGGATTTTATATATCAAAACAAAAATAAAATTGGAAGGAACAATATACAAGAATTTTTGTATAAGGAAGCCTTCTTAACATCTACCTTTCTTTTTAAACGGTCATCACGTCGTTCAGTACCAAAAAATGGTGTCCACCTCCTCAGATTTTTTTGTTGTTGTTGTTGTTTTATTTTGTTTTTGAGACGAGTCTCCCTGTCACCCAGGCTGGAGTGCAGTGGTGCGATCTTGGCTCACTGCAAGCTCTGCCTCCCGGGTTCATGTCATTCTCCTGCCTCAGCGTCCTGCGTAGCTGGGATTACAGGCGCCCACCACCACACCCAGCTAATTTTTTGTATTTTTAATAGAGACGGGGTTTCACTGTGTTAGCCAGGATGGTCTCAATCTCCTGACCTCGTGATCTGCCCACCTCGGCCTCCCAAAGTGCTGGGATTACAGGCGTGAGCCACTGCGCCCGGCCCACCCCCTCAGGTTTTCTAATGACACTACCAATATATAGAAAACAGAGGCAACGCTTATGAGCCTCTTATAACTGAATGAAAGATCAAGGTGCTTGTTATACAGACGACATATAGGGAAGCCTGATGTAGGAAAAAAAAATGAAAACTTCTAAAATTCCTTTCTGTTTTCATCTGAAAATTTGCCCTCAGAAATGAGAATAATGAAAAATTGCAAGTATCGTTTTATAAATGATGAGTTGCATGTGTTTTTATTGTTAATTTTGTGTGACGAAAACTGTTTCACTTCCAATGTTCATATACTGCTACCTGGCTATACTCTGCAAAAGGATTTATGAAAAAGATCTTCATAAAAAAAGTCTATAGTACCAGCCAGTACAGCCCTTTTGTGTGGAAAGGCACTAAACAGAACTCCCCAGTGCAAGAGCAAAGGGCATTTTTCTCTTCAGGCGACACAGTGATTTCCTCCAAGAAAAGAAGAATTGAATAACCGCTTTGATTCTGAGTTTCCGCTCATGGACTTCTGATCTACACTGGTCCTTTTCCTCCACATTGTTCCTGGAGAAACTGGCAGTAGACTAGACCTTGGCTCCAGCATCCTTTCATTCTTACGGAGATGAGAAACCAGGGACTCATTGCCCTACTTTCTTAAAAAGCCCAGGGCAAAGAAATGGATGAACTCACCTAGAGATTCTGATATTGGAAAGAAGTTGCAATCTGTCCCATGACAGTTTTATGAGAAGTTCAATCTACCCCAAGAGTCTGAAAGAACCCATATTGTGTTATTAAAAGCAATGGTTCGAATCTACCTGAATTCAACATAAAGCTATGCTTTTGTTAAAAGAATGTTTTAGGCCAGGCGCGGTGGCTCACGCATGTAATCCCAGCACTTTGGGAGGCCAAGGCAAGGAAATTGCTTGAGGCCAGGAGTTCAAGACCAGCCTGGCCAACATGGTGAAACCCCTTCTCTACTAAAAGTACAAAAATTAGCCAGGCATGGTGGCGGGTACCTGCAGTCCCAGCAACTGTGGAGGCTGAGGTGGGAAAATTGCTTAAACCTGGGAGGCAGAGACCGCAGTGAGCCAAGATCGCACCACAGCACTCCATCCCGGGCGACAGAGACCCTGTCTCAAAAAAAAAAAAAAAAAAAAAAAAAAAAAAAAGAACATTTTATAAACTATGTCAATCAAAACTAAATTCTTGTTAGTTCTATATTTTCATGGCAATGAGCCTGCAGACCCTGTGAAGGCATTACAAACTATGCACGTGCTGAAACTTGGAGCTTATCTGCAAGCTAATGAAGACATGTTGGTCTTTTATTATCCCTTTTATTACCAAAATGGGGTGACCGACTTTATTATACAAAAGCCATATAAGTCCTTTGCAGAGTCAGAGACTAACTCTGTCACTTATTTGCTATGAATGTGGGCATTTTTTACTTACATGAGCCTCGATTTCAACAAACTGAGAACAATGTCTACCTTCAAGGTGAGAAATAAACTAATATTCATAAAGTATTCCCAACTGTGCCTGACACACGAAATCTCCAGCAAACAGCAGCTGCTGCCAGCATCACATCATCACTCCATGGTGCAAGTCATTTTGAAATGATCACATGATTTGAAAATATTACCAAACTAAATGTCTTTCCAAGTGCAGCAAAGATATCCAGATGTTTCCTGGGTCACCTGAAGTCACCATTATTAACCCAATAAATGGCCAGAGACACTTAAATCCTCTCTAAGTGAAGAATGAAGAGGTCTTTCTAGTTCTGATTCTATAACATTAACTAAGGGTTGTCTGGATACCACCCTTAAGTAACAAAATATTACAAAGCAATCATACACCAGATACTTCATTTTAAGACAGAAATGGTGTCTGAAAACCAGAAGAAAAAAATTTACCAAGTTCTTTCATAAGCAGACTATTATTCTTATCCTCAAATAACTAAAAATTATCTGCTAAAACCATCGAAGTAGTCATTTCTTGAGTATACTTCTTTGGAGTCCAAATATGACACCACTAAGGGAATCCTCACAATGGGAAACAGTTGCCATGAGTGATGAGAACACCAAGAATGCTCAGCTCAGAGGCAGCATTCCGTCTCTGCTCTGCCTAATAATAGCTGCTGGAGCTACTTCCAGCCACTTAGGCCTCTGAGTCTCAGATGCCTCATGTATAACACCACCTACTCTACAGGGTTGTTTTGTAAATCAGAAATGAAATAAAACGATGATAAAGCTTTTTATCATCCGTAAAGTAATATAACTGTTGTCAGGTGTGGTGGGTGCTGGAGCCATCCTCCTGGTGAAAGCCAGTTGATAAACTTTCAAGAATTTTGTGAGCCACTTGTTAAACCAGAAATAGCTGGAAATCAGCCACAGTGGGAGATTTACACTATGGAAATGGCCAGACGTTGCCAATCAGGACTTTTTTTTCCTGGAGAACTGGTTCCTAAGCATTTAACAGCACACTATTGGTCCTAGTCGCTGTTGTAAATAGATATAAAGCTTCCTAGGCCTACAGATGAGTGAGCAAACATTAATGGGAAAGTAATCTACTATGAGGTAATATCTCAATCAGACTCTTAAAACATTCATTGAATGAGCAAAGCAAGAAATAAGAGAGCATACTAAGAGATGAAAATGGAAAACTATCACGTGACAGCAACCTCTTGTACATGCTGTGGTCTGACCTTGATATTGAATGGCATCATCAAATTGCATAATCACTAAGATCTACCAAAACATAAAGCAAGTTAAAAGCTAAATTTACTCAAGATATAGTGGCTACTGTAGTGAAATCAAAAAGAAATAAATACAAATAACTAAATAATAATTAGGCTCTGAGAAAAATTCAGTCAAGTATGTCCTTTCTGAGAAAAAACTTCCAAAACCACAACAACCAAAAAAAAAAAAAAAAAAAAAAAAACTTGTCAAAATCAATGACAGAGTCTGGGTGCGGTGGCTCACTCCTGTAATCTCAGCACGTTGGGAGGCCAAGGTGGGGGAGGATTGCTTGAGGCTAGGAGTTCAAGACTAGCCTGGTCAATGTAGCAAGACCCCATCTCTAATAAAAATAAATAAATAAATAATAAAAACAATGACAGAAAAGGCTTTTAACCTCAAAATGTAAGAAACACTCCACCCGAAGCACACTCTCAATCATGTCTCATTGCATCTTTGTTAGACAGATAACCAGTCCCACCCTGATGGATTTCAATTCATACAACGGCACCATCACAGAGCCCAGATGAAGCTCCTGTTTCTCATGTTCTTCAAGGACTTTCCTGTGCCGACATTCACAGGAACAGAACAAAACTAAGTTGAAGACTTTCTTTAGATAAAGGAAATAGAAAAACACAATACCATTTGAAGGCAAAAGTGCCCTTGCGGAAAAAAATTGATGAGGGACAGAATCATCTTCAACTGCTAGGTCCAAAAATGCAGTCTGCAATTCTGCCAAACTCATCCCACACAGGACTCTGCTGACACAGGTTACTGTATTGCAAGAGGATGAAACTGGCTTAGATTAGAAAGATTTGTCCCAATTCAAGGAATGAATCAGTGAGAGATAAAGGGTAGGGAAATGTGTCTCATTCAAGCCAAATTTCAGTTTTTGCAAGTGCAAAAAGATAACAAAAAATGAGAATTGTGGGGAATGGAAAATGCTTGATAGTGATAAGTCTGAAGATAGAAAAGAATAGACTCTGCAGCCGGCAAAAATATTATGACATGGAGCCAGGAGGGAAAAAATGTTGGCCCTTTATTTTCTTAAATTCTTTCCTGAAAACGTGGGCTTTTCATATCTGCTTAACCCTGAGAAGGCTCCAAACACACACATCGTAAGACATTACACAAAATATTTTTTGATATGTAGGTTTCTAATCCAAAAATCTGAAATTTGAAATACTTCAAAATTCACTATTTTCTGAGCACCAACATGATGCTCAAAGGAAATGCTGACAGGAGCATTTTGGATTTTGGATTTTGGATTTTGGGATTAGAGATGCTCAACAGGTAAATAAGCAAATATTCAAAAAAAAATCCTAGATCTAAAACAGTTCTTGTCCCAAGCATTTTAGATAAGGGATACTCAACCTGCATTATTATGTTGAATGTGTCTTTGGCTTAGAATATTGTCAGTTTTTCATAAACTAGAAAAATCAATCAGATGCCAAGATTCTTTAAAGTTTTATAGATTTCTGGAATAAAACCCTAAACTATTTAGAGTTAATTTACTTTGCAAATATGAAATTGTATGGAAGAAAAAGACATCACTCCATTTCTCAGTTTTTCACCCTTGATTTCCAATTTTCTGTGGTACAAGATCTCTACCTAAATCCACATTAAAGCATTACATTTAATCTCCTTCCATCACTAAGCCTTTTACAGAGTATGAAAACTGGAAGCCACCTTGCCATGGGAACCCACATTCTCTCTGATTGACAAACTTTGTACTGCTGGAACAATACATGGATGGGAAAGAGGAGCCCCAACGAAAAGCTCAGCTCATCAACCCTCCAAGTCCTCAGTTTTCGACTAACACAAAATCTGGCAGAAGAGCCCAGGCTTCCTTACTCTCTGGCACTCATGCTCTCCATCATCTACCCGTGCTTCTTGTTTTCTTAAGAAGAAAAACTCAGTCATAATGCAAAAGAAAAGAAAAAGTGGTTACATAGAAATCCACTTTCAGAAAAAGCCAGAAGAGATTTTGATGTAATAGCAACAAAAAATTTTGAAGTAGGCATCAAATGGATGTTACAGACTGATGTTTGTGCCCTCCCAAAATTCATTTGTTAAAATCCTAACCCCAAAGTGATGGTATTAAGATGTAGGGGTTTTGGGAGGTGATTAGGTCATGAGGTTAGAATCTCCGTGAATGGAATTAGTCCCCTTACAAAAGAGGCCCCAGAGAGCTCCCTCGCCCCTTCCAGAATGGGAGGACATATTGAAAAGGCACCATCTATGAACCTGGAAACAGGCCCTCACCAGACACCGAATCTACCACTGCCTCGATTCTGGACTTCCCAGCCTCCAGAACTGTGAGAGATACATTTCTGTTATTTATGAGCCACTCAGTCTATGGTACTTTGTTACAGCAGCCCAAATAGACTAAGATAATGGAGATAAATAGAAAAGAAATAGAGCAGGGTGGACAGACCTAGATCATCAATGAAGAAACAAGTGAAAATGTGTCAGATAGACATGGGGCACATTGCAAACTTTTTTTTGGTGGGGGGATTATACAGGAAACTAGGTATTGTTTTTAAGCTGAATTCTCAGAACCAGAAGTATGCTGGTTTCCAAAATAGGTTGATGAGATGCAGCTCCCACAGATGAGACCGTGAGCTCAGACACCATTCCCCAGAGCCAGCTGAGGATGAGTGGGCACTCAAGAGTTATAGGGTGTATTTTAAAATAGAAATTAGCTTCTGGATTTTGCAGACTTTTCCAGAATACCTCTGACCAATCAATAGCTTTCACAAGGGTGACCCTGAAATTCATCAACGTTTTACATTTCCAGACCCCATCTCTGAGGTTTCTACTTTCCCCAGATACTTGGAGAAACCTGGGAACAAGGCAGGAGTTATTAAAATACTAAGAAGGCCAGAAGCAGGAAGGTATGGAAACTTCTACAGCACTCCCCAGAGAAACGGAACATGAGGAAGAAACTTGGACTTTGCAACATCTTTTTTGAAAGTGAATAGAAAAAGGAAGACTACAGGAATCGACTCCAAATTGTAACCTTCAGCAGAACAACAGAAAAGGTTGTCTAACCCAGCGAGTGTGTGGAATAGTAAATAAGAAGGTTGAGAAAGAGTAGGGAGACAGAGGAAGACAGCATGCGACACAGACCAGAATGAAGACGAGCACCCTTGCCACCTCCAGAGACAGGCAGAGCTCATGACACAAGTTCAAAACAGGGCTCCCTCCTCTTAATAAGGCTTTCAAAAAAGATCCACAGGAAATTAACTGGTTTTATCCACATGGAAGACTGATAATCAGCCCCAAATGAATGATAAATTGACTAACCATTGGAATTACCTGGAGAACTCTGAAAAACATGCTGAGTCCAGGACCACCTTGGACCAAGGGCTCACCTGCTGGGGCAGGTGGCCCGGATGCTTAGCCAGGGAAGAGAGCCATGGCTATAAATAAGCCCTGACTTAATGTCTTGGAAGACAAGACAAGAAATTCAGTGAGGCTATATTTTATGGGGCAACTGAATTATTAATTGAGTTAGTAAAATCTGTTTTATTTTGCTTTTTTGGTGAAACAACTGAACTGACACAAGTGGTTGTTTGCTTGGATGCTTCTCCAGGCTCCATCCACAATTGTGTTTAGCCCGGCAAGCCACTGGAATGAATTTCCCAGCTGCAATTTAACCCGGGCCTATAGCGGCAAGAGTTAGCTGATGTTTTTCTCCCTATGCTCCAGTGCCTTCAGGGAAATTTGACTTCAAGGTGGGGTGGTGGCAGGCACTTAGGTTTCTCCTCTATAAACCTTTTAGAAAATGCTTGGAAATCACAGCCATAGAAACCAAGCAGCATTCTTGAATGCACTAAGCGGCCAGATTCCGGGTAGCCGGTCCACATTCTTTCTCAGTGTGGCCCGTCTAGTTCTGACAGTGAGAAGTCATGGCTGCATTTGGACTGTGCTGATTCCGGAAGAAAGTCAAACAGACTTCAGCTAACTTCAAGATTCTCTGTAACAAACAAACAAACAATTTTTTCAAGATTCTAATCATTCTAGGTTATTGTTTGCCTGTGTTAGTTATAAAATCCCAGCATCACAAAAAATACTTGACAAGGTCCATGGAGAATATCTAGTATAACCCTAATTTTTGCTGTGAGGAAACTGAGGCCCATGGTGTTTAAATGGCATGGCAGGGATCTGGGACAAACCCCACATGTCGTGATTCCCAGGCCAGTGGCGTCTTCACACACCTGGAGTGCCATCAATGACACTTATCCAGATAATCAATTATAAACATTTTAAATCAGTTAAATAGATCAGAGTTTTCCTGTGCTAGACAGGCTATCCATGTCAACACATGACTTCGAAATGTGTGAAAAAGTAAGAGTAGTACTTTAATTTCTGAAATAAATTTGTACTTGG
Organism: Homo sapiens; assembly: GCF_000001405.40. Classification (NCBI taxonomy): domain Eukaryota; kingdom Metazoa; phylum Chordata; class Mammalia; order Primates; family Hominidae; genus Homo; species Homo sapiens. Next base: position 231,857,262 of record NC_000001.11, on the reverse strand, counting down.
GAAAGTGGGGCTGACATTGGAGCCTGTAGTTCTGGAGGGTCCCCTAGAGCCCTTGCCTTTCTGTTGTGACCAAAACTCACAGAGTGCCTTGACCGCTCTGTGACCCAGACAGCTGCAGGTTTTTCCCAGCAGGCTTGAACCCAAACCAGGGCCTTGAACATTCCCACACATTGATAAAGGTATCTAAGCTTTTGCCCAAAACACTGAAAGAAACTGGCCCTGGCCCTGAGCCAAATTCCTTAAACCCTCATGTAAACTCCATCCCCTGAGCACCTCGCTGTGGATGTTTCTAGGTGGAAGACCCCTTTTTTCATGCTGCCGCCGCAGGATTGCTGCAGCCCACTCTGCCTAAGTTCCCCTAATGAATGCTTTGGCCTGATCACTCCGGCTTTTACTGCTTCTTTCTTTGGAATCTCAGTAGGCCCCATCTTGGGAAAGTTTGGGGCACTCCTTTCTGGGGACTCCCCTGCCACCACCTTTGGGGTAATTCCAATGATAGGTTCAGCAGGATGAAACAAGGTCACAAAATGAAGCTTCAAGAGGATATGAAGGAAAATACCATGACTTCAGTTCCCCACTGAGCAGCACTGGGAACCATTATCATTGCAACCTGCTCACGCAGGGCAGGCAAGCTCCCTGGGCCGCAGCCACATAAAGAAATGGCAGGGGCAGGTTTTCAACTAGAAGGTCATGTGCCTGAGCACAAGAGAATTACCCTGGAGCAGGGACATGAGAGAGAATCAATGCATGGGAACTAACGGGGCTGCAGTCACTGAAAGCACCTGGAAGTAAGCTCATCCTTAAAATAAATATGACAGATTTCCACAATATCCACAATATCGTTTCAGCAACTTTGATTTCAAACAGCATTTCATTACCAACTGCATTTTAATGGGCACCCCGAGAACAGAGGGGAAGCAGAATAGGGGAAGGGGGAAAGGAGATGATTAACTGCTCTTATGCTCCTGGACCTGCCACCTTCTTCCTGCCTCTTCATTGCACAGTTTCTGCCCTGCATTTTACCATCCACATGCCACAGGATTCATTATGTTCCAATATACTGTGACACATAAATCTGCAATCCAACCGAGAGCTCATAAAGGTCACCATCCAAATTGGGCAACCCATCTCCCATCTGATCATTCTTGCAACTAATGAGCTGTTTAGGCTCACACAGCTTGACAAACATTTGTATGAGTTTATGTTTGCTGAAGCCTTCGGCATATGCACGTCAAGCCAAAAACAAAGGTAGAAGTGTCATCGCCAGATAGTCACCCAGAGAGTGGCAGCCACGACTTTCATGTTCAAAGTGCCATTTTAGGATCTGAGCTTAAACAGTACAGCAGCTGTTTGATTTGGATATCACATAAAATTAATGGCCTAACTAGCAATGAGAACCTTTTTTGGAATATGCACGTGAACATATTCAAGGAAGAAAGATGTGCCTAGGGTTTTTTCAGACTTTGAATCAAGTCCCAAAATAGAGACTTGCTTTTGTGGGCTGTGAAAATGGACCAACTGAAGAGAAAGAAGGGGAAACGTCACTTCCCTTTGGATATAATCACCCTTAAAGTCATTTCATGGAAAGGAAAATAAGCCATCCTTAGGAAGGAGAGAACATAAGGACTCTTGGTTTAAGGGCATGAGGAACATCTCAATTGCTCATCCTCAACCCCTGCCCTCCAATATTTGTGGTTTAGGCTTTATGTTGTAAATGCAAGAAAAGGGACTACTTCATGAAGAGAGTTCAAAAAGAGAAGTGGGATTTCAAGTTTGGGAAGGAGGATTGTTATTTGTGTGTTTGTCTTAATGGAAATTAAGTTTAACTGCTTGCATCAAATGGGGAACATTCTATCACTGTGGATGAAATAACTTGAGCTCATTTATGGAAAGTTATTTTTGTCTTTTTAATGTACTGTTTAATTGACAAAAATTGTATGTATTATATATATAACATGTTATTTTGAAATATACATATGTTATATAGAAAGTTATTTATGAGACACTCTTGTGATTCTTTACAGTACAGTGTAAAGTGAACAAAGACACTTAGAATAAGGTGTAAGTTTTCAAAAGTGTCATTCACAAATTTAAAGATTCACAAAGGACGCTGCATCAACATTGAAAACCAAAATTTTCTTCAACTTTTTAAACTTCTTTTATACTTCCACTAAATAAATTTCTTTCCTTACCTAGAATTTCTTATTTTTCATTTGATATTTCCTCACATTAAAGAATTATTGTAGGGGCCAGGCACAGTGGCTCATGTCTGTAATCCCAGCACTTTGGGAGGCTGAGGAAGGTGGATCACTTGAGGTCAGGAGTTTTAGACCAGTCTGGTCAACATGGTAAAACCCCATCTCTACTAAGAATACAAAATTAGCCAGGCATGGTGGCGGGCACCTGTAATCCCAGCTACTCCGGAGGCTGAGGCAGGAGAATTGCTTGAACTCGGGAGGCAGAGGTTGCAGTGAGCAAGATCGTACCACTGCACTCCAGACTGGGCGACAGAGTGAGACTCCATCTCAAAAAAAAAAAAAAAAAGAATTATTTTAGTTCCTTAGTTTCTTGTATCACATACCTCCAAGTACAGGGTGATACACTACACACCACATAGGAGAGACATAACTTTGAAGTCTAGGATACAAACTTGAATCTTTTCAGAACATAACAACTAGAGGAGGCCTTGCAAAGATTTAACAGCAGGAGGAGAGGCTGACAGCAGGAAGAGCACATGAGAATTCATAGTTATAGCTAAGTGTTTTATTAGAAGGTTTACATATACTGCTCTACCTTTTATATAAAAGAACTATATGGAAATGGATATTAGTAGGTATATTTGCCAGGAGTTTTTCACATATTACACATATTTAACAATTTAACAGGCATTTTACTTTTTAAAAGTTTTACAGTTCTATATATCACATCTATCATATTTCATATTATCACATATATCACTTCAGTTGTCCCTCAGAATGACTAGAATAGGATTTCATGCTCACTTTATAGATGAGGAATTTGAGGCTCAGAGAGAAAAAAATTAGAATGACTTACCCACAATCGCTTAGTAAGAGGTCAGCCGGGATTAAAACTCAGGCCCACCAGACAACAAAGCCCCAGCAGAAGCTAGCCTCATGTTGTTGATTTATGTATTTGTGAGTTGGTTATCAGCCCCAGGGTCATCGTGACCCAAGAATCCCCTTGGGCCGCCCTAGACTGACCACCCCACCCAGGTGGGTGAGCAGCTTGGCCCTTCGTCTAGGAGATTGCTACACTCATCTCAATCCTGTGCAGTAAACAACAGATTATTATTGTCAGTTTAGCTGCTAAAGGAGGTTGTTTAGGGTGGTATTTCCAGTCTCATTAGGGCCACTGGGACTCCCCAAACTTAAGTTCAACCACAAATTCAGGGATACAGGCACTGGAGATGCCAAGTCTGCAGCGAGCCAGGACAAGGCAGCTGCTGTATCTTGGCCCTGGGTCAACCCTGGAGCCTATCTGTAGCCTGTCTTCAGCCTAGTTGAGCCTACTGCTCTGTGTGGCAAGTTCCTCACCAGTCAGCCCTTAAAACAAGAAGCCAGTACCTTCCTCACCAGTCAGCCCTTAAAACAAGAAGCCAGTACCTGTTCCCATTCCACCCTCTCAGTTCGGAAGAACTTTAATGCTAGTACAGTCATGTACCACTTAACCACATTTTAATCAGCAATAGACCATGTATGTGATGGTGGTCCCCTAAGATTATAATGCCACATTTTTACTGTACCTTTTCTGTTTAGATATGTTCAGATACACAAATACTTACAGTGTGACAATTGCCTACAGTATTCAGGACAGTCACATCTGCACAGCTTTGTAGCCTAGGAGCAATAGGCTGCACCACGTAGCCTGGGTGTGGAGTAGTAGGGTGCACCATCTAGGTTTGTGTAAGTACACTCTATGACGTTCACACAATGGCAAAATTGCCTAACGATGCATTTCTCATAACGTATCCCCAACATTAAATGATGTAGGACTGTATTTGATTATTTTGTTTCTACAAATATTATTCTCTTCAGTCCTTTTTTAAAGGATAATGGTAGTTTATTAAGGTCTAAATACCTCCAGAAAGAATGCTAAAGGCAAATATCAGCAAAGATGTCTAGCAGGGCTTCAATGCATCCTCAAGCAGTGTTACTCTTAAAAGCAGAAAAGAGTAGAATGCATTTGGTTCTGTTTAAAAATCAGATCCAGAGGGCATTTCCTAACTGCAGTCTAATATTTTAGAGCTGCTATAAGGTCAAATATTGGGCCCAAATCCATAGCTATGTGGCATAAACCCTTGTAAATGACAAGATGAAATTTGTAAAGAAACAAGATGAAACAGTAAAGAAACTTCAACTTAGTTACAATTCTATTTCTTTTTCATGTTAAAAACAAAAATCCCTGACTTCTTTCTACTCAATATCATTTACAGTCTGACCAGTGCTTCTCCACCATCTCTCTCCCCAACTTCATCCCATATGGAAGATGGAATTGGCACCCATCTTCATTATTACAAAGCTGATGCATTTAGCCCTTGATAACAATGCCAGTTTAGGCAGAGAGGGAACCTCAATTGCAAAATAATTATGGCTGGTTGAAACTGTGAAGCCTGAGGAATCAGAGAATTAATTAGCCACTCCTGCCCTGACTTAAGACCAGGTGCGCATGTGCCCCAAATGTTGCTATATGAATGCTTTACAAAATATTAGGAAAGTTAATGATCCTGACTGTCTCTTGGGTTAAGAGTAATGTGTTTAAGAAAGATGCATAGAAAAGCTGCGTCTGATTTTACATCCTTCGTACCCTTGCTGTGCTCACCCCTGTGAGTAGTTCTCCTATATCACCTTTACTTAGCAATGCAAAGGGAAGTGAAACCAATGAATAGTTTTGGAGCATTCCACATCTAAAACCTGAGATAAATAAGCTCTGAAATAAAGATTCAGAATAATTGAATCAATGAGCGACTCCAAATGTCACCTTCAGATATTCTGAAATGAGATATTCCTCATCTATTACAGAGGAAAAGTAAAATCGATTGAAATTTGTTTTTGTCAGTCAGGCCTTTGGAGACGAGCCGACTGGTGTTTAATCCCATGCTACCCCTCGCTGGCTGTGTGATCTCGAGCAAGTTACCAAACCTTTCAAAGCCTCCATTCCACGACTGAAAAATAGGAAGAGCAACATCCCTCCCTCACAGTGCTGTTCCTGCTGTAGCAGTAGAAGGTCCTGGACAGGTCCCATACCTCACAGCAGCCAGACCTCCTCCTAAGCACCCTCTCCCATGAAGGAGAGTGTGTGAGCCCTTGGTAAACCTCTCACCTTGTGCACCAAAGCTGTCCAGGTTAACACTTTGCTCCCTCCTTTCCAAAGACAAGGTCCCAATTTTATATTCTAAGCCTTTTGTAAAACAGAGGTTCAGAAGAGTGGGGAACTCTGCCTCCTCAAATGCTCATTCTTCCGCCGGCCCATGAGTGCCGCATTCCCACTCAACTGGCCCACATGAAGACCAGCCAGCCTGGCTGCCCTTCTGTCCTCACTTCTCATGGCCCTTACATGTGAGATGCTCCATGACGACGCATCACGGCCAACTCCTCTCCCCATCTCTGTCTCCGCCACAGCCTTTGGCACCTGTAAAATGGGGACACCTGTGCTGGGGGAGCCCCAAGTCTTCTTTCAGGTCTGCACTTCCACGTGAGGTGTGAAATGATCTCATTTCCACCCCCTTCGGACAGGGGTGAATGTAGGCCTGAGCCTGGGTTTAGCTATGTGAGTGACTATATTCAGTTTCCTGCTGCTCAGGGCTGACTGTTTTATAGCAGGTTTTGCAGAATATTTATCGCCCCAACTCTGCGAGAGGATGCTCAGTAGGTACAGGTAATCATCTGTACATTCAGGTTCCTCAAGGACATAAGAGTTAGAGAAAGGCGGCGAATTACCCACTCAGAACAGTGCCGTGAATCTGAAAGTCAATAGCCACCCATATAACCACTGGATTGTTAGCACTTAAAGTTGCCTTCGAAAAACACAGTTAAAAAATATACTCAGAAGCTCTTGTCATCCACATGCCACAGATGTGTGAGGACATTTATGGTAACAACAACTAACATATGGATGAGAATGTACAGTAAGTGCAGGAGAAGCGCTCAGTAAGTGCTCGTCCTGTGGAAGGCAGGCCCCCTTTAGAAGTCAGGGCATACCGACCTCTCCAGGCACATGATCCTGGGAAGCACTGCTGCCCTTGCTATGACCTTCACACCCTGCCAGTGCTGGTTTCCCTGTAAGAGTGTCTGAGATGACTAGGTGACAGCAACAGCCTAAGGAAATCCAAAATTAAAACAATGAGCCATTTGTGTTCCCACTTCTACTGAAGGCTGGTTGAACAGATAGCAGAGAGCCAGAGCGTCGGACTTTCCCAAAAGCAAGAGATATCAGGGCAATTAAAAATAAAAAATGAACCAAAGACGTACCCTTTAAATAGAAGTGCCCCACTTTACCATATTTAAAACAATTCTGATAGAATATTATTTTGCTGCTTCATACAAGACAAGAGAAATCTCTTCTTTTCCACTTTTCTTCTTTTTCTTTTTCTTCTTTTTTTAGTGTATAGAGAACTCCAAAAACATTTCTTAACAGAGCAACAACTTAGGTTGCATTCGTACAGGATCGATATCTCTACAGTGTATTTTTTTACCTGTCACCATCCACACAATTATTTCAGAACATTCCCTGTCAGGTTCTACTTTGTGCTCCGCACAACTCGGGAAGATTTTCATCACCCCAAGGACATGTGAGAGAAATTCATGGTTTACTAGAAGGTTAAGCAACTCAGGCCCTAGCATTGTACAGACAGACATGTCTTTCAAAAGGCAACAGATTTACTTGATGGTCAACTCTGGCGTCATTGGTAACTCACTAAAGGCTGTCTGTCGTAGGATCCTACCTCACGCCTCCGTCTGTTCCCTGATTTAGTGATCAGTAACAGTAATGCCAATGGGGACACAATAAAGACAGCCAAGGGGAAGGCACCCCCATCATCCAGGGACCCCTCCACCCTCCTCTGTTCCTTGTCACATGCACCAATTATGCAGTCCTGCTCTTGGCACACTACCAGAGTTCTCCGTAGGTGGGGCCCAGCCCTCCCACAGGCATTTACTCTTTCACAAAAAAACAGCACAAATCAAGATTAATTAAGATAGAGAAATCTCAAGCAAGCAGAGATTTAGTGACACTTTGGACACCATGGTGAGTGCTATGGAAGCATTTTAATGTACAGAGTCTGTCTCATGCTTCCAAAGTTCTGTTCAAATCAAACCACTGAATGCAATAAGGATCGAAGACACTAGGGAACAAAATGAAAAATAAGACCCAGTCCTTGCTCTTAAAAATCTTACAGTCTATAGGAGAAACTGCATATGTGCTCATGAGAATATAAAATCAGTTCCTGAAGAGAAACCAACGTGTTATGGTGGTGAGAAGACAAAGGTTATATTGAGGATCAGAAAAGGTATCCGACTCTTTCACGAGCTTGTATAATAACTCACAATTCACAGTGAACTGTGTCATGCTTTGTCTTTGACCTAAAATCATACACTTGGAAAGAACCTAAAGGATCATTTGATAAGCAAAATGGTATGAGGGAAACACACGCACACATACACACACATATACACATGAAAACACAAACATACACTACACCACACACACACACCACCATCATCATCATCAGAGCCCTGCTATTGGCTCCTGGTTATTGACTTGGGGACCTTGGGCATGTTGTCTAACCTCTCTGAGCACTAGTTTCCTCTTCTGTAAAATGAGGATAGGCCAGGCACGGTGGCTCACGCCTGTAATCCCAGCACTTTGGGAGGCCGAGGTGGATGGATCACCTGAGGTAGGGAGTTCAAGACCAGCCTGACCAACAGGGAGAAACCCCGTCTCTACTAAAAATACACAATTAGCCGAGCGTGGTGGCGCATCCCTATGATCCCAGCTACTCGGGAGTCCAAGGCAGGAGAATCACTTGAACCTGGGAGGCAGAGGTTGCAGTGAGCCGAGATCAGGCCATTGCACTCCAGCCTAGGCAACAAGAGCAAAATTCTGTCTCAAAAAAAAAAAAAAATGAGGATAATAATTCCACCTTGCAGGATTGTTGTGATAAGTAAACGTAACACATATCAAGAAGCTCAGCAGGTACAAAGTGTTCAACAAATAATATCTCCTGATAATTGGACTAGGTTCCTCCAAAGTGAACTTCAAAAGACTGTCAGTTCTTGTCTTTTAAATATTCACTCATTTATTCGTTGTTTCACTGCAAACATTTACAGTAAGGCCTCTATGTGCAAGACACTGCAGAGTATGAATATAATGTAATCCCTGCATCATGGGATATGATCTAATGGCATAGTTTGATACTGCCCAAAACTTGATCCAAGACATCAGGCATAATATGCAAGGGACAGGGAAGAAAGGGGGCATTAACACCCATCTCCAATTCACCTATGCACAAAAACTGAAGATCACTGAGGTTAAGTAACTGGCTGAAAGTTGCATGTGTTATTTTTTGGACAAACTGAGAAGTGATCGGGGTCTTTTGATGACTAGTCAACTCACAAGATTATCTTTGACCAAGTAGATAGACCATCCTGGACACATCCTAGAGCCTTGCTACACAAAGGAGAGGTGAGAACAGCAGCAATACCATCACCTGGAAACTCATTAGAAATGCAGATTCTCAGGCTACCCAGGACCTCCTGAATCACACCTGGCATTTTAACTAGCTTTCCAGATGGTTCAGATGGATGTTGAAGTTTGAGAAGCACCACCCTAGAGGAACTTCAAAAGACTGTCAGTTCTTGTCATTTAAATATTCGCTCATTTATTCACTGTTTTTCACTCAGCAAACATTTATAGTAAGGCTTCTATGTGCAAACACTGCAGGGTATGAATACAGTATAATCCCTGCATCATGGGATGCAGTCTAGTGGCGCAGTTTGATGCTGCCCCAAACTTGATCCAAGACACCAAACCTGTTATGCAAGGGACAGGGAAGAAAGGCGGCATTGATACGCGTCTCCAAGTTCTCCAAGTCACTGTGTACAAAAATACCATCTGCTTGTTAAAACAATCAAAGTCACAGACAGGCCTGGAGTCAGACCAGCCCTGTTTCTCTCTTTGCCCAGGGAAGGGACCTCAGGCAAACTGCCTCCTTTTGATGAATCCCACCTAAAAAAATAAAGTCTTGGACTTCAGGAACATCCAGATTCTTCCCAGCAGCTCTCTTCATTTCTTCCTAACTCTTCTGGTTTTATTCATTCACTTGGCAAATATTTGAGTGACACTATCTGCTGGGGATTGCTTCAGTGCTGGGGACATTGGTGACAAGATAAATGAGGCCCTATCAGCCAGCAATAAGTACCACACTGAGCACTGAGACAGGGTAATGAGATCTGGCATTGCTGGGTGGCTGCTTTCCATTGGATGGTCAGGGAGGCTTCTTGGAGGAACAGGATTTAACTTGAGGCCAAAACGGCACAAGGGTAGAGCCATATAAAACTAAGGAGAAACCATTTTAGGATGAGGGAACAAACCCTGAAGGTGTGAACAAGCTCGGTGCATCTAGACATGTAAGGAAGGTTCCAGCATGTGAAGGAGCGAGGACGGAGAAGGGTCCGGTGAGGTCTTACAGCAACAGAGGGTCCAGCCACATGAGGCTGAGCAGCCAAGGTAACTTTCTGGATTATTTTCTGTGTGTGACCAGAAGAGTGCTAGGCAAGGATCTGATTTTAAATTCTCTTCTTATAAAATGAGGTATGGAATAGGCTGCTATGGACTGAACTGTGTCCTCCCCCAAAACTTATATGTTGAATCCCTAATCCCTGGTACTTCAGAATGTGACTTTTTGGAGACACGGTCTTTAGAGAGGTGATAACATTGAAACGAGGTCAAGAGGTTGAGCCCTAAACCAGTCTGATCGGCATCCCTATGAGGAGAGGAGATGAGGACACAGACACACACAAAGGGAAGGCCATGTGAGGGAGGACGCAGGGAGAAGACAGCCATCCGCAAGCCAAGCAGAGAGGCTTAGGGAGAGACCATTTGTGCTGACACCTTGATCTCGAACTTCCAGCCTTCAGAGTTGGGAGAAAATAAACATCTGTTGTCCAAGCCACTCAGTCTGTGGTTTTCTGTGGCAGTAGGCCTAGCAAACTAATGTAAATTTAAGAACAATGATCTTTATAATAACAGAGAAAACAGCAAATTCTCCTGTACTTCTCTAATTGGTACATGTTCTTATAAATGCTGGCTTAGCCTTTATAACTCTCTCCAAATCTTAAACTGGACTTAAAAGTCCTTCAAGCTAGTGATCTAAACTCTAGTTCTGCCCAATCCCAGAGTCTTTTTTCAACAGTTCCTGAACTAATCACAGGCAAATACCTGAGTTTCCTTATCACGTTATCCTGCCTGAGTTTCTTTCAGCTAAGAAACATAAAACAACAAAACTCATGCTGTTTCTTCTGGTTTCAGTTAAAAGCCTCCGCCACTTTAGTTACTATGTTGCCTTAAATTCTAAGATGCACTGTCTTTTTTGTTTTTCAACATTTAAAAAGTAAAGATGCGATTTGGAACTGGCGTGTCCCTGCACCGTGAGTGTCTACCTGCCTTTGTCAAACCCAGGATGCATCAGACAATCACTGGCATTGTAGAAGCAAGAGAATGCGACGATTTTCTGTTCCTTTTGAAAAGGTCGCTGAAAAGCTAGGACAGAGACTCTTTTTCCACCTTTAACTTTGGCAGTTATGTAGTGGCAGAAATTATAGAAAAAGTATAGCTCTCACTTAGGAAGGCCAGGGTCCAAATCCCTGGATGGCTATGAAGATGCTGCCCGCATTCCAAGGCAGACAGTGTCTTCGCAGTTGTCCCGTCCTGTGGGCCCCTCCATGGGCTTTGCCCTACTGCCTGGATCCTCCATCACTGGTTAGCAAGCTCTGCATGCCCAGCTCCTTCTGAAAGCTGCCTCCTCCTCTCTGCCCTAACAGTGACCTGGTCATCCCTGGAGGGTCTCATGGCATCTGCAGCCACTCGAGTGTGGATGCTCACTCCCCACCCCTACCCAAGCAGTCAGTGTCCTCCCACGTCCCTAACGTGGCTCTACCTTCAGGTATAATCTGTTGCTGCTTGAAGGCTCAGGGCATTCAGCTTCACCCCAAGCTGTCCTTCTCATTGCTCTCATCTGGGACATCCCCCTTCTCTGGGGGCCTTGATCCTGGACCTCCACCTCCTCCCCACCCCGAGCCCTGCCGCCATCCTTGCATCACCAGGCCGACACCTGGGCTTCTGGGTCCTTGGTCTCACCATCCCACCTCACTTCACCTTGGCTTCATCTGCACCCAAACTGAGCCACCAAGCTCCCAGCCACCTTGCCACTACTTTTCCCACACCCTAGTTATTTCTGCCCCTGTTCCACGACCACATCCAGCCACCCACCCCTCAACCTATCACTTTCCCTCCTTTACCAGCCTCCAGTGTAGACATAGCCATCCATCACTTCACTCACCTTCCTGCCACTCCGTTCGGCTCCCGAACCCAGTTGCCTTTCTCCTCTACCTGCCTGGAAACCCCCAGCCTGGCGTGCTCGCTGTTGCCATTCCCTCTCCCTGAAGCAGGCTGCTGAGCACAGCTGGGGAAAATGCATGATCTCAGGGACACTGTCCCCAGAAGTCACTGGGCCACCTTCCAAATGGGCACCAAATCCACCTGGCAATTCTGTGTTCCCCGTGCCAGGTCTCCCCACCTTCAAGGCACCACAGCAGACCTTTCCCCACTCTCCTCAAACCTCCCCCCGCCGGCCTTCCTCCCATTCACTCACTCACTTGCTCACTCATGTATTCATTCAAAAATGTTTGTGGAGACCACAGCCAAACCCGGTCCAGAGCTGGCACCAGGATGTGGCTCAGTCATTCATCACCCTTCTCTGCTTTCTCTTTGTAAACCAAAAACAAAATTCTAAGTTCCTCAACCATGTAAATGGACTTCCTGCCAGGCCAGAGAACTCTAAAATTTAACCAGAAAGACTGGCTCAGGCTATGACGGGAAGTAGGGTTGAACATGCCTCAATATAACCTCCGGTATTAACATCAACACAGACCTTACATCTGATAATAAATATTTACAATCTAGTCTCTCTGAAGCCTGCCACCTGGAGGCTTCAGCTGCATGAGAAAACTTTGGTCTGCACAACCCCTTATCGAAACCCAGACATTCCTTCTTATTGATAATAACTCTTCTTTTTCTTTTTTTTCTTTTTTTTTTTTTTTTGAGTCAGAGTCTTGCTCTGTCGCCCAGGCTGGAGTGCAATGGCACAGTTTCAGCTCACTGCAAGCTCCGCCTCCCAGGTTCATGCCATTCTCCTGCCTCAGCCTCCCGAGTAGCTGGGACTACAGGCGCCCACCACAATGTCCGGCTAATTTTTTTTGTATTTTTAGTAGAGACGGGGTTTCACGTGTTAGCCAGGATGGTCTTGATCTCCTGACCTCGTGATCCACCCCCGTCGGCCTCCCAAAATGCTGGGTATTGATAATAACTCTTTTGACCAATTGCCAATCAGAAAATTTTTAAACCTTCCTATAACCTGGAAGCCTCCCTGCCCGCCCAACTTGCTTCAAGTTGTCCTGCCTTTCTGGACCAAACCAATGTATTTCTTAAATGTATTTGATTGATGTCTCATGTCTCCCTAAAATGTATAAAACCAAGCTCCATGAAAACCCTAAACCACAGGGTTCAGAGAGCTTCTGGACTGGTGAGGCCATGGCAGTGCTGGGAGGTGGCGCACCTGGAGGGGGCATGGAAGCTCTGCGCCACCCCCATACCTTGTCCTATGCATCTCTTCCATGTGGCTGTTCCTGAGTTGTATCCTCTACAATAAACCTGTACACATAAGTAAAGTGTTTTCCTGAGTTCTGTGAGCCACTCTAGCAAATTATCAAATCTGAAAGGAAGAGGGGCTGTGAAAACCATGGGCTCTGCACACAAGTCAAACAGAGCTAAATGGAATTCCGGGACAACCAGTTGATATCCAAAGAGTTAGTGTGTCCCTAAAGGCAGGGGAACCCCACAAACAAAAACAATCCGTGCTCCTCACACACTCCTGCCGGTCCTCCCTCATCCCTGACCACAGTCTCTCATGCTTCTTTGTGGCTCCTTGTCCTCTGCCTGTCCCCTAAAGATTAATGTTCTTTAGGATACTCCTTTGCACCATCTTGTCTCTGCACTGGCTTTTCCCATGCACTCTCATCTATCTGCACGGCTCTAATTATAATCCATATGCTGAGAACAGCCAAAGCCCTGCCGTCAGTCAGCTCTCCTTCCTCAGCTTTGCAACCAGCTCTCCACTGAACATCTCCACCTGGATGTCACTCAGAAACTGCAAACTCAACTGGCTCAAAGGAGACATACAATCTCTTCCAAATCTGCTGTTCTTATGGCCTTGATTCTAATGAATACCCCCCACCGGTGGTCCAGGCCAGAAAGCTAAGCTTCTATCTTATCTCCTCCCTCATGACCACCTGCACCTCCTGCCTCTAAGCATCCACTCTCAAGTCCTGTTGGTTCTCACTGCTGAACAACTTTGTAACGTATCCCCTCCTCTTCGTTCTCACAGCTGCTCTCCTGTCACCTTCCTCTCTCCTGCCACTGGCCTCCCTGCAGGGGGATGGCCCTCGTGCCCAGTGTGGAGTGGATTCTCTCTCCATTCTGCAGCTGGACCCAGTGTGGCCTTTTTTTCATCCCCCCAATGCAAATCTTATCAGATCACTCCCTGCTTAAATCTGTCCAAGTGCCTCCTATTGCTCTTAGGACCATTTCCAAGCTCCTTAAGTGGTACACAAGCCCACCTGGCCCCTGCCTAATTCTGGAGCTGAAGCTCTCCCCACTCCTCCACCCCACTGAACAACGCAGCCCCACTAAACTTCTTGCGGTCCCCATAAGGAAGCTTTTCTCTATCACCTCTCATGCTTGTTCTTTCTTCTGCCTCAAATGGGCTTTCCATACTTTTCTCCATTTTAACTTTTACATATCCTGAGTAGCAGCTTAGATGTCATCTCTTCCAGAAATCTTTCCTGGCTTTTCATACCCCCCCATCATACACTTATCTGACTGTACTGCCGTTGTCTGTTTTCTGGTGGTGTCTCCCAGTGGGCTCTAGCATTCTAGAGGACCAGGATGGTACTGTTAGGCTCAGCACATGTAACCAGCTGCAGACACAGCCCGGCACGTAGTGGCTCACTATAAAAATTAGTTGAAAGCAAGGACAGATTTACCATGAATCTAATGGCACATAAGCCTCAGGGTCTCCCGCTGTCACAAGTCTCCTTCAAACCCTGTATCCAAATTTGAATCATAATCCTATATATTTTTTTCTTTAAATAAGACCCATACTCAAATTATGTAAGCTCCAGTCCTCACAAAACCTGGACCCACCATTGGTTACATAAATGAATGAGGGGGAAAGTGAGGCTCACAGAAGTGAAACAGCCACCCCATCTCATGTCCCTCTGATGTGGCACAAGAGGATCTGAATTCACGTGTCTGACACAGCTCACACTCCATCCAGTGTGCATAACAAGCAAATCAGCTCATCACTCCTAGCCTCAGCTTCCTCATTTAGGAAGGAATATGTTTGCTGCATGGGATGTCATAAGGAATAACTCAAATAATATCTCCAAAGTACCTACATAGGAGTTGGCAAATGAATGATTCTGAAATATCAGACTGTTGGATAAATAATACTTTGAAATACCATACTCCACAAGTCTCACTCAGTTCTCAAGTTCAATATCCATTGAAATGGAGTTCTAACTCAGCAAACCTTTACTAAGCCCCTATTCTATGCAAGGATTACAGGAACTGGGGGCAGAAAACTAATAGCCTCGAAAAGGCTGGGCGCAATGGCTCACGTAATCCCAGCACTTTGGGAGACTGAGGTGAGAGGACTGGTGAGAGGATTGCTTGAGACCAGAAGTTCAAGGCCAGCCTGGGCAACAGAGAGAGATCCTATCTCTACAAAAATAAATGTTTTAAAAATTAGCCAGGCATGGTGGTGCATGCCTGTAGTCCCAGATGCTTGGGAGCCTGACATGGGAGGATCAAAGCCCAGTAGTGTGAGGATGCAGTGAGTCATGGTTGCACCACTGGACTCCAGCCTGGGCAACAACACAAGACCCTCTCTTAAAAAAATAAAAATAAAAAACAACGAGAAAAACTGGCACAGAGGCTAGGGAAATAGATATTTAAACAAATAATTACAAAGTATGCAAAAAGAATTAAATATCTTCATCGTTTTTACTGTTTTCTAACCTTAACATTTTGCTCTTTTTGTGTGTGTGTCTAAGGAATTATCTCTTGCCCTCTTGTCTGAGGTTGACTATGTAGTTGATTAACAGTTATTAATAATTAACAATTCTACTCAGCCATAGAGCAGCCTTTGGTTACAACCTGAGTGATTTTTAAGGAGACTAAGTTAAAGCTGTGAATTGAACAAAAACTGAATAAGATTTTTATGGGTGTCACCACACAAACCCTCTAGGAAGGTAATAGTTCCTTGAAAAGAAGCCAAATTTAACTTAGCCAACAGTACAAGTTAAGAGGTCAGAAAATATTCAGTAGGCAACTCCCTCTCTGATACTAAGCATTTAGAACATTTGCACATTTGTAAAAGTTGCACCAGCATGATGCACAGAGCAACCACACTGACCAATGAGCTGGATAAACTGAGGTACAGCCTGTACAAGAGCCTGAGAAAGATCTACCACCCACTCTGTGACTCCTTGAGGGGTGACTCGCAATGCTGTGGAAATTCAGGGTCTGGGGAGTGTGCACACCTGGCTTGTGCCAGGCTTTGCCCCCTGGAAGGTATGTAGGTTTGGGCCAAACCTCACAAAGCCTCTGCTTAGTCAATAATAATAATAGTAGTAGATAATAATGCACTAATAGAGATCCAGGTTGAGTATCCCTTATCTGAAATGCTTAGGACCAAAAGTGTTGTGGATTTCAGATTTTTTTCAGCTTTTGGAAGATCTGCATAATTACCTGTGGAGAATCTCTAATTTGAAAATGCAAAATCCGAAATGCTTCTATGAGCTTTTCCTTTGAGCATCATGTCAGGCCTCAAAATTAGTTTCAGATTTTGGAGCATTCCAGATTTTGGATTTTCAGATTAGGAATGTTCGACCTGTAATAATAACATCAACCTCATAGAGAGGATTAATGAGATAAGACAGGTAAAGCACGTGGTAAATGAGCTATATGTCTTCAAGTTTTTAAAATTTTTTAAAAATTTACACGCAGTAAAATTCACTTGTTGTACAGTTCTATGGGCTGTAACTTGTAACCATCACCACAAACAGGATACAGAACAATCCCAAGGCCCCTAAAGAATTCCCTTGGGCTGAGGCGGAGCTTGCAGTGAGCTGAGATCGCGCCACTGCACTCCAGCCTGGGTGACAGAGCGAGACTCCGTCTCAAAAAACAACAACAACAAAAAAAAAAAAACAAATAAAAACAAAACCAAGAATTCCCTTGGGCTGTTAATTTCTAATCAGACCCTTCCCCAGCCCCTCTCCCAATTCCTAAACCCTGCCCTTAGAGGTCTCTTTTCCAGAGCATCGTATGAATAGGATGCTACAGCTGTAGCCTTTTGAGACCGGTTTCTTTCACTCAGTACAATGCATTTGAGATGCAGCCAGGTTGTTGTGTATATTGATAGTTTGTTCCTTATTACTGAGTCGTGTTCCACTATGTGAAGGTACCATAGTTTGTTATTCTATCCACTCAGTGAAGGACATTTGACTTGTTTTCAGTTTTAGGCAATTATGAATAAAGCTGCTATAAATATTCATTACAGTTTTGTGGGATATAAATTTTTATTTCTAGAGGATAAATAAGTACCCAGGAGTGGAATTGCCAGGTCACATGGCAAGTGTAATGTTTAACTCCATAAGCCACTGGCACTGTCTTCCAGATGGCTCTACTCTTACAACCCCACCTGCGATACTGACACATCCCACCAGAGATGTATGAGCAATTGGCCTGCTCCACCTTCTTGGCAGCACTTGGTGTTGTCAGTATTTTTTATCTTAGCTATAATAGGTGTGCAATGTTTGGGTTTTTTTGAGGTAGAACATTTATATGAGACTGTGTTTAATCATCGACTTTTGATATAGTTTAGATGTTTGCCCCCTCCAAATCTCATGTTGAAATGTGATTCCTCAATGTTGGAGGTGGGGCCTTGTGGGAGGTGCTGGTGTCATGGGGGCGAGTCCCTTATGCATGGCTTGGTGCCCTTTCTGTGGTAATGAGTTCACACAAGATCCGGTTGTTTAAAAAGAGCCTGGCACCTCCACCTCGCCTCTTGCTCCCTCTCTCGCCATGTGACACGCTGGCTGGCTCCCCTGCCCTTTCCACCATGATTGTAAGCTTCCTGAGGCCTTGCCAGAAGCAGATGGCAGCACTATATTTCATGTACAGCCTGCAGAACTATAAGCCAAATAAACTTATTTTCTTTACAAATTACCCTGTCTCAGGTATTCCTTGATAGCAATGCAAACAGACTAACACAACTGTAATACAAGAATGTTCAGGAGCAGTGGAGGATACAGAAACCAAGTTATTTTAATGGCTAGCCACGACCTTTCAGAAATCTTGAAAACCCCAGCCTGGTGAAAAGGTATCTCATGGTTTGGCTCTGTCCACTTCTCCAGCCTCATCTCCTATCATTCTCACTCTTACACCCTTCAGTCCAGCCAGATCAATAATCACATAAACTAATATTTATTGAGTCCTTATGATACGCTAGGGCACTAAGCCAAGATTGTTACATGTATTATTACTTTATCTACTCATGGTCCTAAGAGGTCAATATTAGTAGTAGTAGTATTTCTACTTTACGTGGGAGGAAACATACTCAGAGTGATTAGCAAACTTTCCCAAAGTTACACAGCTGCTAAGTGGTAGGGCTGGGATTGGATCCCTGTCTCCTAGATGTGCCACGTTCCTCCGACCTCTGAGTCTGTGCTCTCCTCTTCCCTAAAACAACACTATTTCTGCCCCTTCCATCCCCAAGCCACGGTGCATGCCCTGCCTCCTCTGTGAGGCTCTCCCTGGCTCCTCGAAGGCATCCTTGGTTGTCCTTATCTCTGCTGTCTTGATACCTATTGTTTATTGCTTCATTTCATCCTTCAACACATCGTGCCCTATTTGCTGTGTACATGTGCCTCCTCCACCAGTGACTGCAAAGCTCTCGAGGTCAGGAATCACATCTTGTCACCCTTCCACTCCCCAGTGCCTATTACAGTAGCTGGCACCTGAGAGGCGCTCAACATGTGTTGTAGGAGTTGAGGAACAGCTAAGGCTTCTGAATGAGAGGCCAGGCGGTGACAAGGGTCCACTGCCGCACAGGTGTTTTAAATATAAGCTCACAGTCCTACAAAATGCATCCATACAACGAGCAAAAATGTAGAAGCAAAAGAAGGGCCTTACACAAACTTACATGTAACTCTTGATATAGACTCTCAGATATCCATCCCTATCAATAACAAACAGAACGTGAGATATAATGCAAGATGACGACAGGGACATTCACCCAATGTTAACAGCTTTAGGCCAAAGGGCAAAAAACGAGAGTGGAAGAGAGAAGAAAGGAGTCCTTTTCTATATTCTTGCTACAGTTGTTCTCCTTCCTATTTACATAAGCATGGAGGGGGTTTTTTTCTCCGCTTATGTGTCACAGGGCTATTACAACTGTTTATTCCTCCCTTAGTCTATCACTCTCAATAAAGAGGATCATTTTTAATATTAAAAAATAACAAATTCATTTGCCTGGAAAGTTCCTTGAGGAACATGGAGTCATCCTTTCCTCTGGAAAACCTGAACACAAACCATTCCAGATAGATGGGTGCTTAAGCAACCGGAACACAGTTCAAACACAAAGTCCAGGAAGAGGCAGCTCTCTGCAGTGTCTGCATCCCATGAATATATGTTAAATTCATAGATTAATTTTTTAAATTAAAGCATCTGAATAGTACGAAATATTAACAGTCAAATGCTTCACGGGCCACATGTTCTTCTCCAGTATTCTCCCAAGTGAGAAATTTCAAAACTGTAGAGACCATGGCTGTGCATTAATGAATCCAGGACTTTTTATCTATCTTTCTTATCTATTGATAAATGTTTGCAAACTCTAAAGGCTTGAATACAGAAGTTTAGCCTGTCTTAGAGAAAAAATGCCTCTTAAAGAAAAAAAAGGCATAAATGAAAGGGCATTCATACAAAGAAGTATATTAATATTTCAATTGTGGCAACGAAATTTGCCATTCCCAAACCAGATTAGGAACTATTTTTTTCCAGCATCAGTTCCCATGACCCACATCCACAATGGCATGCTTCAGTTTCCCAGGAATTACCTGCTTTGATTCTAATGTAGGTTTATCCCTCTACAAGTTCCATAAGAAAACATTACTTGTGCCACCTCCTCACCTCCTCCCTTTCATTTCACCTTCGCCCCATCATTTCTTCAAGGTTCACATGTAGAGAGTTAAATACAATAACAGTTTCCATACTTTCATGCAGATAATAAGTTTTTCGAGTGAAGCAGAAAAAAAATATATAGATCAGAAATACACCAGTGTCTTAATGACAAATTTCTTTATTCAGTGCTTTGGGGACCTCATCATGTAATGCTTCATGGAAGAGGGTGACTTCATATAATTTAATCAATGAAAAGACAGAGGAGAATTTGCTTTAGAAACTTCTATGCCCATATATCATGTAAAGGCAAACAATAGGCTTGTTCCGTGTTTGGTAATTAGTTGTAAACAGCTACACTTTGGGATAAAAAATATCATGTCTCCCCTTGAATTTGCATACAAGTGCCTTAACACATTTCACGGTGACAGCCACGAGCTGGTTTATATACCTAATGGAGCCTGGCAAGACAGGATGACCTTTCTAATTGTCATTATGAGAAGCACAATTGCAAGTGACTTTGAAACATATGGTAAACTTCATTATGCTAAAATATAAAAGCTTCTACTTTGGGGCTCACGATTAATATTAATGTCAGACCTCCTGAGAAAAAAATGTACTCTAAATTTTATATTGTATAAAACCTTCTCAATACTAAAGAGAGCATTTATTTATAGTCTTCAGTCTTCTTCATAGATGCTATTAAATATTACATTAGATGTGGCAAAATAGAATGAATAATCCTGAAACATTAAGGGAAGGATAATGATTACCTTCCCAGCATCAGGTCAAGTGCCATGCAGAGTGGGAACAGAGAGACTGACTACAAATATGGGTCCAAGGAGGACAGAGGATGTGTGTACAGGAAAGTCAGTGGGGCCCGACTCAGATCACACGGGGAGGGGCGGGGCGGGGCTTAGCGCACTTTATCCAGAGCACGCGGACATCCTGGGAAGTTAAGGTGGTCAGAGGAGCTGTCCTGATTAGGCATGGAAGGAATGTAGGAAGTGAATGTGTGGATAGATAAGGGTAGGGGATAGTCCAAAGGTGGAGAGGAGAATGTGAAAGCCAATGGGAGCAGCCAAAAGCCGTGGGAAGACATAGTCGGGCTGGAGGGAGAATGACTCCCAACAGCTGCAACAGGTAGAAAGGTGCCTTCCTGAATCCGAAATCATAGAAATTTCTTATGATTTATGATTACACATCATCAATGGAAAAGGATATTTGCCTTAATATCAAATGCTGTATATCGTTTATGCAGAGAAGGGCAGGGAACTATTGCAAACCCATTTTTCATGCCCCTGATGACAGTTTCAAAGGTCATCCTATCTGGCATCCTTCCAGGACAGGGACGACCTTTCTCTACCATTTCTTTGAACCCCCTCCTTAAACTGCAGCTTCAAGGGCCACAGACACCATCAGGACACTATCCGTTCACCTATGAAATAACAGCACGCCTCTGGAAGGAAAAAAATAGTCCTGTAAGCAGGAGTTGTTTTTATAATGGATCAACTTAAGAAAATGGGAAATAATAAAGAAAAAAACAGCCAAAGACAGTGAAGTACAAAACATGAGATGCATCCTGAAGAAAAATAAGGTCTTGGGTAGGATACTGAGTACTTCTCTCAGTTTCTGTATTTTAACAGTGGAGAAAATGTAAAATAATAGCTTTCACAGATTTACTGAAAAAAGTGAAACTGGTTTATTAAGGTCTCAATTGCGGCAGTTCCCTGAATATCACATTTGTTTGAAAGGCCAGGTCCAATGCATATTAATACACAGAGTGGAAATAGAATGTTTTTACTCAGAAAGATCGGTCTATGTTGTTTAGTACATCATTTGCACCCTAATGCCTTAAGAAGTTTAAAATCCATTCTACGCCGTTATCTCAACATGATATTATTTTTTATACTTTGTTCTTGGTCCACTATTAATCATGATGAGGGGTTAATTTCACAAATACACACACACATACAAATAGGAAAAAATGATTGATAACCATATTATATAAAGAGAAGAAAACCACTAGGTGCCTCCTTCAAAATAAAACCAATAGACAAAGGACATAGACAACACACTGTCAGGCCTCTGAGCCCAAGCTAAGCCATCATATCCCCTGTGACCTGCAAGTACACATCCAGATGGCCAGTTCCTGCCTTAACTGATGACATTCCACCACAAAAGAAGTGAAAATGGCCTGTTCCTGCCTTAACTGATGACATTATCTGGTGAAATTCCTTCTCCTGGCTCATCCTGGCTCAAAAGCTCCCCTACTGAGCACCTTGTGACCCCCACTCCTGCCCGCCAAAGAACAACCCCCCTTTGACTGTAATTTTCCTTTATCTACCCAAATCTTATAAAACAGCGCCACCCCTATCTCCCTTCGCTGACTCTCTTTTCGGACTCAGCCCGCTTGCACCCAGGTGAAATAAACAGCCTTGTTGCTCACACAAAGCCTGTTTAGCGGTCTCTTCACACGGACGCGAGTGAAATTTGGTGCCGTGACTCAGATCGGGGGACCCCCCTTGGGAGATCAATCCCCTGTCCTCCTGCTCTTTGTTCTGTGAGAAAGATCCACCTATGACCTCTGGTCCTCAGAAAGGAACATCTCACCAATTTTAAATCTGGTAAGCGGCCTCTTTTTACTCTCTTCTCCAACCTCTCTCACTATCCCTCAACCTCTTTTTCCTTTCAATCTTGGCGCCACACTTCAATCTCTCCCTTCTCTTAATTTCAGTTCCTTTCCTTTTCTGGTAGAGATGAAGGAGACGCGTTTTATCTGTGGACCCAAAACTCTGGCGCTGTTCACGGACTCGGGAAGACAGTCTTCGCTTGGTGTTTAATCACACGGGGATGTCTGCATGATTATTCACCCACGTTTCAGAGGTGTCTGACCATGCAGGGACGCCTGCCTTGGTCCTTCACCGTTAGTGGCAAGTACAGCTTTTCTAGGGGGCAAGAACCCCCCATCCCTTCTCTCCGTGTCTCTACTCTCTCTTTTCTCTGGGCTTGCCTCCTTCACTATGGGCAAGCTTCTGCCCCCCATTGCCCCCTTCTTCTCCCTTAGCCTGTGTTCTTAAAAACCTAAAACCTATTCAACTTACACCTGACCTAAAACCTAAATGCCTTATTTTCTTCTGCGATG
Source organism: Homo sapiens (assembly GCF_000001405.40). Taxonomy (NCBI): domain Eukaryota; kingdom Metazoa; phylum Chordata; class Mammalia; order Primates; family Hominidae; genus Homo; species Homo sapiens. The sequence goes on along the minus strand of NC_000001.11, from coordinate 231,834,581 downwards.
CCGCTTGACCCCAATGCAAACTCGACAGTGGTTCCAAATAGCCAGAAAACGGCACGTTCAATTTTTCCATCCTACAAGATCTAAATAATTCTTGTCATAAAATGGGCAAACGGTCTGAGATGCCTGACGTCCAGACATTCTTTTACACATCGGTCCCTCCCTAGTCTCTGTTCCCAGTACAACTCATCCCAAATCTTCCTTCTTTCCCTCCTGCCTGTCCCCTCAGTCCCAACCCCAAGCGTCGCTAAGTCTTTCTAATCTTCCTTTTCTACAGACCCATCTGACCTCTCCCCTCCTCACCAGGCCAAGCTAGGTCCAAATTCTTCCTCGGCCTCCACTCCTCCACCCTATAATCCTTTTATCACCTCTCCTCCTTACACCCGGTCTGGCTTACAGTTTCGTTCCATGACTAGCCCTCCCCCACCTGCCCAGCAATTTCCTCTTAAAAAGGTGGCTGGAGCTAAAGGCATAGTCAAGGTTAATGCTCCTTTTTCTTTATCCCAAATCAGATAGTGTTTAGGCTCTTTTTCAGCAACTATAAAAACCCAGCCCAGTTCATGGCTCGTTTGGCAGCAACCCTGAGACACTTTACAGCCCTGGACCCTAAAAGGTCAAAAGGCCGTCTTATTCTCAAAATACATTTTATTACCCAATCTGCTCTGGACATTAAATAAAACTCCAAAAATTAAATTCCAGCCCTCAAACCCCACAACAGGACTTCATTAACCGTGCCTTCAAGGTGTACAATAATAGAGTAGAGGCAGCCAAGTAGCAACATATTTCTGAGTTGCAATTCCTTGCCTCCACTGTGAGACAAACCCCAGCCACATCTCCAGCACACAAGAACTTCCAAATGCCTAAACCGCAGTGACCAGGAGTTCCTCCAGGCCTGCCTCCCCCAGGAGCTTGCTACAAGTGCCAGAAATCTGGCCACCAGGCCAAGGAATGCCCGCAGCCCAGGATTCCTCCTAAGCCGCGTCTCATCTGTGCGGGACTCCACTGAAAATCGGACTGTTCAACTCACCTGGCAGCCACTCCCAGAGCCCCTGGAACTCTGGCCCAAGGCTCTCTGACTGACTCCTTCCCAGATCTTCTCAGCTTAGCAGCTGAAGACTGACACTGCCAAATCGCCTTGGAAGCCCCCTAGACCATCATGGATGCCGAGATTTGGGTAACTCTCACAGTGGAGGGTAAGTCCTTCCCCTTCTTAATCAATATGGAGGCTACCCACTCCACATTACCTTCTTTTCAAGGGCCTGTTTCCCTTGCCTCCATAACTGTTGTAGATATTGACGGCCAGGCTTCTAAACCTCTTAAAACTCCCCAACTCTGGTGCCAACTTTGACAATACTCTTTTAAGCACTCCTTTTTAATTGTCCCCACCTGTCCAGTTCCCTTATTAGGCTGAGACACTTTAACTAAATTATCTGCTTCCCTGACTATTCCTGGACTACAGCTGAATCTCATTGCCGCCCTTCTTCCCAATCCAAAGCCTCCTTTGCGTCCTCCTCTTGTATCCCCCCACCTTAACCCACAAGTATAAGATACCTCTACTCCCTCCTTGGTGACCGATCATGCACCCCTTACCATCTCATTAAAACCTAATCACCCTTAGCCTGCTCAATGCCAATATCCCATCCCACAGCACTCTTTAAAATGATTAAAGCCTGTTATCACTCACCTGTTACAGCATGGCCTTTTAAAGCCTATAAACTCTCCTTATAATTCCCCCATTTTACCTGTCCTAGAACCAGACAAGCCTTACAGGTTAGTTCAGGATCTGCGCCTTATCAATGAAATTGTTTTGCCTATCCACCCTGTGGTGCCAAACCCATATACTCTCCTATCCTCAATACCTCCCTCCACAGCCCATTATTCTGTTCTGGATCTCAAACATGCTTTCTTTACTATCCCTTTGCACCCTTCATCCCAGCCTCTCTTCGCTTTCACTTAGACTGACCCTGACACCCATTAGGCTCAGCAAATTACCTGGGCTGTACTGCCACAGGGCTTCACAGACAGCCCCCATTACTTCAGTCAAGTCCAAATTTCATCCTCATCTGTTACCTATCTCGGCATAATTCTCATAAAAACACACATGCTCTCCCTGCTGATCATGTCTGACTAATCTCCCAAACCTCAATCCCTTACAAAACAACAACTCCTTTCCTTCCTAGGCATGGTTAGTGAGGTCAGAATTCTTACACAAGAGCCAGGACCGCACCCTGTAGCCTTTCTGTCCAAACAACTTGACCTTACTGTTTTAGCCTAGCCCTCATGTCTGCGTGCAGCGGCTGCCGCTGCTTTAATACTTTTAGAGGCCCTCAAAATCACAAACTATGCTCAACTCACTCTCTACAGTTCTCATAACTTCCAAAATCTATTTTCTTCCTCACACCTGAGGCATATACTTTCTGCTCCCTGGCTCCTTCAGCTGTGCTCACTCTTTGTTGAGTGTCCCACAATTACCACTGTTCCTGGCATGGACTTCAATCCAGCCTCCCACATTATTCTGGATACCACACCTGACCCTCATGACTGTATCTCTCTGATCCACCTAACATTCACCCCATTTCCCCATATTTCCTTCTTTCCTGTTCCTCACCCTGATCACATTTGGTTTATTGATGGCAGTTCCACCAGGCCTAATCGCCACTCACCAGCAAAGGCAGGCTATGCTATAGTAGCTTCCACATCTATCATCAAGGCTACCACTCTGCCCACCCCCCCCCACTACCTCTCAGAAAGCCGAACTAGTTGCCTTAACTCAAGCCCTCACTCTTGCAAAAGGACGACACGTCAATATTTATACTGACTCTAAATATGCCTTCCATATCATACACCACCATGTGGTCACATGGGCTGAAAGAGGTTTCCTCACTACGCAAGGGTCCTCCATCATTAATGCCTCTAATAAAAACTCTGCTCAAGGCGGCTTTACTTCCAAAGGAAGCTGGAGTCATTCACTGCAAAGGCCATCAAAAGGCGTCAGATCCCATTGCTCTAGGCAACGCTTATGCTGATAAGGTGGCTAGACAAGCAGCTAGCTCTCCAACTTCTGTCCCTCACGGCCAGTTTTTCTCCTTCACATCAGTCATTCCCACCTACTCCCCTGCTGAAACTTCCACCTATCAGTCTCTTCCCACACAAGGCAAATGGTTCTTAGACCAAGGAAAATATCTCCTTGCAGCCTCACAGTCCCATTCTATTCTGTTGTCATTTCATAACCTCTTCCACATAGGTTACAAGCTGCTACCCTGTCTCTTAGAATCTCTCATTTCCTTTCCATCCTGGAAATCTATCCTCCAGGAAATCACTTCTCAGTGTTCCATCTGCTATTCTACTACCCCTTGGGGATTGTTCAGGCCTCCTCCCTTCCCTACACATCAAGCCCGGGGATTTGCCCCTGCCCAGGACTGGCAAATTGACTTTACTCACATGCCCCAAGTCAGAAAATTAAAATACCTCTTAGCCTGGGTAGCCATTTCACTGGATGGGTAGAGGCCTTTCCTACAGGGTCCGAGAAGGCCACTGCAGTCATTTCTTCCCTTCTGTCAGACATAATTCCTCAGTTTAGCCTTCCCACCTCAATACAGTCTGATAACAGACGAGCCTTTATTAGTCAAATCAGCCAAGCAGTTTTTCAGGCTCTTAGTATTCAGTGAAACCTTTATATCCCTTACGGTCCTCCGTCTTCAGGAAAGGTAGAACAGACTAATGGTCTTTTAAAAACACACCTCACCAAGCTCAGCCACCAACTTAAAAAGGACTGGACAATACTTTTACCACTTTCCCTTCTCAGAATTCAGGCCTGTCCTCGGAATGCTACAGGGTACAGCCCATTTGAGCTCCTGTATGGACGCTCCTTTTTATTAGGCCCCAGTCTCATTCCAGACACCAGACCAACTTGGACTGTGCCCCAAAAAACTTGTCATCCCTACTATCTTCTGTCTAGTTATACTCCTATTCACCATTCTCAACTACTCATACATGCCCTGCTCTTGTTTACGCTGCCGGTTTACACTGTTTTTCCAAGCCATCACAGCTGATATCTCCTGGTGCTATCCCCAAACTGCCGCTCTTAACTTTTGAAGTAAATAAATAATCTTTGCTGGCAGGACTATGCTGAATCTCCTTAGGCACTCTCTAATTAGATGTCCTAGGTCCTCCCAATTCTTAGACCTTTAATACCTGTTTTTCTCCTTCTCTTATTCCATTTAGTTTTTCAATTCATACAAAACCATATCCAGGCCATCACCAATAATTCTAAATGACAAATGTTTCTTCTAACAACCGCACAATATCACCCTTTACCACAAAATCTTCCTTCAGCTTAATATCTCCCACTCTAGGTTCCCATGCCGCCCTAATCCCGCTCGAAGCAGCCCTGAGAAACATCGCCCATTATCTCTCCATACCACCTCCAAAACTTTTCACCATCCCAACACTTTACCACCATTTCATTTTATTTTTCTTATTAATATAAGAAGACAGGAATGTCAGGCCTCTGAGCCCAAGCTAAACTATCATATCCCCTGTGACCTGCACGTACACATCCAGATGGCCAGTTCCTGCCTTAACTGATGACATTCCACCACAAAAGAAGTGAAAATGGCCTGTTCCTGCCTTAACAGATGACATTATCTGGTGAAATTCCTTCTCCTGGCTCATCCTGGCTCAAAAGCTCCCCCACTGAGCACCTTGTGACCCCCCCACTCCTGCCCGCCAGAGAACAACCCCCCTTTGACTGTAATTTTCCTTTACCTACCCAAATCTTATAAAACAGCCCCACCCCTATCTCCCTTCGCTGACTCTCTTTTCAGACTCAGCCTGCCTGCACCCAGGTGAAATAAACAGCCTCGTTGCTCACACAAAGCCTGTTTGGTGTCTCTTCACACGGACGTGAGTGAAACACACAATGAAAAAAAGTAGGCCGGGCATGGTGGCTCACTCTGTAATCCCAACACTTTTGGAAGCCACGGCAGGTGGATCACTTGAGCCCAGGAGTTCGAGACCACTCTAGGCAACATGGCATAATCCCGTCTCTACCAAGCCAGGCCATGGTGGCACATGCCTGTACTTCCAGCTACTCGGAAGACTGAGATGGGAGGATTGCTTGAGCCCAGGAGGTGGAGGTTGCAGTGAGCCGAGATAATGCCACTGCACTCCAGCCTAGGTGACAGAGTGAGACCCTGTCTCAAAAAAAACTTATAAAGGCACAAAAAAACAAGTTGAATGTATTAGTCAAAGATATGCAAAAACAAGGCATGAATTAAATACCACTCTGTTATTATACTAATAATCTTTTAAAAAATAATGCTTATTATTAGAAAGGATGGATTGGTAGTATCAATTAAATTGCTATAACCTGCAAATCAATCTGCAGTATGTATGAAGCCATAAAAATGACTGCATTCTTTGGGTCATTAATCCCAATCTTGGCACTTTATCTTCAGAAAAAATTCATGAAATAATCATTAAACACCTCAGAATAAGGAGGTAGTTAAGTAAGTCACAGTATATTGATCCTTGGACTGTTATGTACATAAAAAATAATAAATTGGAATATTATAATGCAACCAGGGACACAGAAGTGTATAATGAAGAGTATGGCTCTGAAGTGAGACAGATGAGTCTCATTCCAGTTCTTTACTTCCCATATACAGAAACTTGAGCCACTCTGTTAATTCACTGAGCCTCAGTTTCACACATTGGTAGATTGGGAATGATAAATTTGTCTCAAACTACAGTTACGAGGATTAACTGGTGCCATGCTCTCACTATTGTCCTATAAGGTTAAGGACAGACAGAGGATGTAAAATTGCATCCTCTTTCTCAGTACAAGTGTGTAAAAAGCTTTCCTGTACTGCAAGCACAGAAGATAATGCAAAAAAATGCAACCAGGGGCTCTGTTATAGAAGTTGCATGATAAACATTTTTCATTCATTTCAAAAATTTTATTTTATGCTAAAGGTATTTTTTGAAATAAATTAAAATTTTATCCTAGAGTAACTCCAGACATTTCATCAGCTTTGACTTCAGAGAATTTCTCTATAATCTTTAGGGGAGAATCACTTCACTTCCAAAGGCTGACAGATTTGCAGGATTCCAGACCACGGGGGAATGTCCGTGTTTGGTGACCTTCTCAGGGCAGACATGAAGTTGGCATCCAGCCACTACTGTTACTCAGTCTCTGAAAACAGTGGAGTTGGGTGAAGGGTATACAAACACTTGCCAAATTCCAATGTATATGTCTCACCCAACAAGATTGGTACATACGAAGCAAAGTAGAATGCTGGATCCAATTCAGAGTTAAAAAGAAGCCCAAGATTTCAGTCACCCTGTCCAAACCAGACAGACCATGCAATCGTAATATAATTGTATTTGGTTCTTTCTTGGGGAAGGAAAATATCAGATTTGGGGAGACTGGAAATGTAAAGCAGTCATAGTAAACATAGGAAAAGAGAGATATTCATAATGGGTTAATACACCAAAAATTAAACATCATTTTGGCAAATAAAATTTGGTTATAATTAAACCAAAAAGCAAAGTGTGTCATCAGTTGTTAATGAGTTATTAAGACTCCAGAAAGCATAATGTCAAAAGAAAAATAAAACGACATTCTATGACTATGCAGGCTTGTGGAATATGAGCATACCTGCCTCATAAATTTTTGATGATGCCAAGTCAGTAAATCCTTAAGCAATTCTTGATGGTTTCTGTACCGGCCATAAATATTAAATTGCAGTGCATTCACTCAGGGTTGTCCACCCCTACAGTGATCCAGCCCTCCCCAGTTACAGAAAAGCCTCAATGGAAAGTGGATTAGACACAGTGGCCATCCCCAAGTCCAAAACATAACAGGACTAAGGGCCCAGGGCAGCAAACACTAGCTCCTCAAAGCAGTCAGGGCAGGAAAACATTCATCAGCATGCTCTCTCTCTTTTATAAGAGCTCAGAGAATCTGAAAAATCAAATTAGCAACAAGTGATGATCTCTCCAGTAAATACCATCTCTCTTGGGTTGTTAACATATGGCAGCTTCAAAGAAAAAGTACACAGCTAAAATGGCAGGAATGTGTACAGGAAGCCATAACTCATGATAATGCCAAGAAGGAAAACAAAATATTTCTTACCAAATTAATCACTGAAAAAACTGTGACCATATAATGAGTCATATTTAGCCAAGTAAAATTAAATTCTGCAAAACCTCACAAAATCAAATTTGGTTTATAAAGAATCAACCTTCATTCCTGAAAATCCTAAATTATATAATAGTTTAAATTTTTTTTATTTATGCTGGGCGCAGTGGCTCATGCCTGTAATCCCAGCCCTTTAGGGGGCCGAGGCAGGTGGATCATGAGGTCAGGAGTTCAAGACCAGCCTGGCCAGGATGGTGAAACCCCGTCTCTACTAAAAATACAAAAATTAGCCAGGCATGGTGGCGGGCGCCTGTAATCCCAGCTATTCGGGAGGCTGAGGCAAAGAATTGCCTGAACCCGGGAGGTGGAGGTTGCAGTGAGCCAAGATCGTGCCACTGCACTCCAGCCTTGGCAATAGACTGAGACTCTGTCTCAAAAAAAAAAAGTTGTTTTATTTAACTAAAGTTCAAAACTCACTCAAAAGAAGCCTAGAAAGATTGACATCACATGTTGCAAATTGAATTCCTTGTAATCAAAAGGATGACAAATTAGTAAATTCTTAAAAGCAAACAGGGCTTCTAACTACTTCTTTACCAGGAACTGAGTAATGTATCAATCTAATAACCAATGCATTTACTTATAGGAATACAAAGGAAAAGATTGCCATTTCAGCATTTTAGAACAGGAAGCAGAACTAGCAACAGTTATTTGAAAATATACAAAAAACTGGTTTGAAGTCAATGAATATGTATCCAATTAAATTGCTATAGTTCAACTTCTCTCTGATTTATGGTAGTATGCCAAGTTTCTCCTAGTCACCCTTCGAAAATAAAGAATTGAGGTTTTAATACAAAAGATATGAGTTTCATAGGGTGATAACCTATAGAACCTCCTACTACTGAGTTAAATTATCCATCTGCTATAGCAACATGGCAGATAGTGGATCATCATCTCAGGCACAAAATATAGGGAGGGTGCTTGAAAACTTCAAAAATGAAAAAAAAATACCCGTCTTTTCAGGATGTTCAACATCATCAATAGATGACTTTTTGTAGACTTTTGTTTTGTAATTATGAATCTATGAGTGTGGTATTTAGGTAGGGTGATGAGGTTGCGGGATGGATAGAGAGACTGACGTTAGGAATCAAATTCATAAAGAACATAAAGCAACGTCAAAGGTAAAATGGCAGGTAAGAGGGATTCAGATGGTGGCCTTGCCCCCTGAAGGCTCTGTGACAGGATCCTTCCTAAACCTCAGCTTCTTCATCGGTAAAACAGAGATTCCAGTGGAGCCAGTACCACAGTGGTCCAGAGGATGAGATGACTAAAGTATGTCAAGTCTTAGCACAGTGCTTAGTTCTCAAGTGCTTGAGAAACAAAAAGAAAGAGATAAGTCTTTGTTACTAAAAAGAGGGTGACTTCGTACAAGGGATCATTCCTTTTCTTCAAAGAAAACATTAAATCCACAATAGCTGTAGCTCATCTGTGCATACAGAAATCTGTGCCCAAGAAATACATACTGAATATACACAGTAAAGAGCAATGGAGGAAGAAATCTGCAAAGAACTTATATTTAAACCTCTAAGGATCTATATGAAAGATAATGTGAATAATAGAATTTGGTTTTATTAATTCCAGGCAAGTTCTAATGATCATGACAACATATTTTCAAATCATAGGAATGATACTAAAACATAAAGCATTAGGCTGAAGTTATGCAGTTAACTGAGGGTGGTACCACTCCTACCTGGGGGCATTGAAAAATGGGGGTGGGAAGAAGAGTTGGATGCAGGCAATGACCAGGGATGTGAAATGTTCTGCAATACATGATAGGGTCCCCATGCAAAAAATAATCCCCTCACCCAAAACATGGCAAACAGGCTCTTCTTTAAGATCATGAAGTTCCACTTACCATCACTCTTAGCTTAATCTTCAGGACATTATATGAGCGTGTGTGAGTACATGTGTCTACCAACATTATCAAAGCCCAGAGTCCATATGAAATGTACAAAGAGACTCTAATACGCACTGATTAGTAAGAATAATCTACAAAGCAGAAAATCTGGCAGATATTTAAGAGACACATGTACCCACCCTATTACATAGAGTCAAGTTTCTGCTCTAAATGAATTAGCATGTTAAAAAAAACTGCCTGTTGCAATTTGGTATGAAATATAATTGAAAACATCATTGTATTTCCACCCAGGGGGTAAGTGACTTACGTATTTTAAGGGAGTATAGAAACAAGTAGAGAGACAAGTGAAAAAAGATGTAACAATAGTAGGGACTTTTAAAAATATATATGGATAAAAGTGGGAAAAGGAGATCAAAAGTAGCTGAGAGCAAGAAAATAAATGAACAAAGTATAAATTGAATTGTGGAAATTCACATACAAGGGGCTAGAGTTAAAAGGGACCTCAGTAGCCACAGGGACTATCTAATTCATCTCTGGACCATGAGGGCCTGCCACAGCGCCTAGCATATCGTAAGTACTCAATAAATGCTTGTGGAAAGGATGGATGGATGGGTGGATGGATGGATGGATGGATGGATGGATGGATGGATAGAAATGCAACTTCAAGATCTGGTTCTACAGTATTACATATGAAGCAACTGAGACTCAGATAAAATTCAGTGAGTTGCTGAAGACTATTCACTCATTGAGCCTCACATTCTGATGCTATATATATCAGGTGCTATGCAGATGATTAGGGAAGGGCAGGACTGAGATTAAACTGACACCCCCTACATCCTAATCCAGGCTTTTTCCACTGTATGGCGATGCCTCCCAAAAGAATTATCACAGCGACTTAATAAAGGAGGGAGAAAGTTAGCTGCAAATTTCAAGCTTAGAAATTCACAGGCAAAAATGGCTGAAGGGAAATAATCACACTAATAGTGATGCAAGGATGTAACTGGAAAGGAAAAAATGGAGAGAAATTAAAAACACAAACAGATTTAGTCAGGGTCCTGATAAAGTGATAATGTAATCAATAAGGCAAATCAAAGATAAATGATTAGAGATTTAAAACCTCAGCCTATCAGAAAAACCTGAGGGAAAAGATTTTGAATTTTTTTTATTTCTTCCAAAAGATCCTATTTGACATTTTTTTTTAAATCTAAATGACCAAAGATTTCGAATTTGGAAAGGCAGACACATATCTATTTCCCATATAAACATCTACATTTCTTGCCACATAGCACCGCAACACTCATCTGGTTCCAAAGCAGACGGCTTGGCCCTCTGTTATCAAGAGCACTATCACCGTTCTGGCCCGGAGAGCTAAGTTTTCTTATACATAGGTCGTAGCCAAAGCTCAGAGGAAAGAAGTGACATTTGGTGAGTGTACAGGATATGTTCTCCAGCCACTTTTTAGGTGCTAAGTTACATCTTGAAATAATGTCAGAAATTGGAAGATGCCGTATTTAAACTTCACTAGCCCAAGCCCTAATTCACCTCGACAGTTTAATATCTTAATGTTTCTTAAAATTTGAGGACTCTTAGAATGACCCCTTTAAAAATCTGCTGAAAAACTGGATCTTTTTGTGGGAAAAACTGTCCATACCTACATATCTAAAATGTGTATGTGGTTTCAGTCTCTCCTGTGCACAGTCCCTCCTGCTTTGAAGGGATCCCCAACATGTTTTTTTCCTAGAGGTAGTTGGTCACAACCATCGGATAACATGCTTATCACCTGGGTGATAAAATATTCTGGACACCAAACCCCGATGACATGCAATTTACCTATATAAAGAACCTGCACATGTATTCCTGAACCTAAAATAAAAAGTTGTAAAAAATAATAATACAAGTAAAAGAGCTTTCTGCATGTGTTATAAATCTGTTCAGGAGGACTTTCCACTATGCTTTCAAGAGAAGTGTCTTGAAGAATTTAGCATCACTCTGAATTCCCAAAAAGCTCTGTGCTTTTCAAGGTGCTTTTGAGGAAGAAGGATGATGCTTCAACTGTCTTCTTTGCTGTGACTTCTAGGAAGTTCATTATCACATCATATTCTCAACCAAATAATTAACACTTGACATTGGCATTTTCTTCTGTCTTTGTTTTTAAATTTTATTGTTGTTTGCTAATTTTATTGTTTTTATCTTTGTTGTATGTATTGTCCCGGCTCTCCATTTCCTCCCTCTCCCTGCCAATAAAAGAGACCCATAGATTTTATTCTTTTGTTCTACTTTTTCATCAGTTTCTTCTACATATATCTGACATATATGGAAAAAAGAATTACTGCCTATATATGCAGAACTTGTAACTCACAGGATTTCTAAACTAAAAGACTTTTCTTAATAGGTGTGAAGTGAAATTCTGCAAGTAGCTGCATCTGGGAACTTCAGAGTTAAACCGATATCTCAGTATAATCTGTCACTGCTATAGTTTCTTTTCTTTGACCTCCAAACCTTATGTTGAAATTTGACCCCCAATGTTGAAGGTAGAGCCTAATGGGAGGTGTCTGGGTCTGGGGGCAGATCCCTCAAGAATAGCTTGGTCATCAATGAGTGAGTTCTCACTCTATTAGTTTCTGGGAGAGCTGGTTGTTAAAAAGAGTGTGTCATGTCCCTTCTCTCTCTTTTTGCTTCCTCTCTCACCAGTGATCTGCCTAGGCCAGCTCCCCTTCATCTTCTGCCATGAGTGGAAGCAGCCTGAGGCCCTCACCAGAAGCAGATGTTGGCACTATGCTTCTTAGACAGCCTGCAAAACTGTGAGCCAAAGAATTCCCTTTTCTTTATAAATGACCCAGCCTCAGGTATTCCTCTATAGCAACGCAGATGGACTAAGACACTCATGCTTCCTTTCATTAGCTATTTCAAGCTCAAAAATTGTGAGACTGTGCCAAGAATTAGGGCAGGATCTTGTCATTGCGAACTTACAACTTTTCTATCTAAAGCAAAAGGTCCTAATCCCAAACCATAATTGGAAAGGTGCCTCTACTCCAACCTCATTGCCCTTCAACTGCCCCTTCTCTGCCTCCCATTCCCCTCTTACTCACCGAAAGACAAATGAGTTTAGGCTGGGCACAGTTAGCCATCGTTCTCAGAAAAACAAAATCTTGCTGCTTGGTATTCTCACTTAGAATCCCTTCACTTAGCTTATGGATCACCCTACACAGATTCCTGACAGCTCACTGGGCCAGGGAACCAGCCAGATTTTTGAGCTACATCTGCAGTATCTTTTCTACTCAGGCAGCTGGCATAAGGTGGGAAAATTCATTAACATGCTAATGATGTCCTATTTAAAATTCTAGTCCTGATTATTCTGTGATTAAATCTCTCCCCTTGACGTCGGTTTCCTTTATAGCTGAGTTACAGTGCGAAATCAACAATATTAATAAAGTACAATACAGATTACCAATTTATACACAAGGGATGGTGAAAAACTGCTGCGTAAATCTGAGGGCTGTCCTTTTAACTTGAAAAGCAGTTGTAGGCCGGGCGCGGTGGCTCACGCTTGTAATTCCAGCACTTTGGGAGGCCTAAGCAGGTGGATCACCTGAGGTCAGGAGTTTGAGACCAGCCTGGCCAACATGGTGAAACCCCGTCACTACTAAAAAAATATAAAAATTAGCTGGCCTATAATCCCAGCTACCTGGGAGGCTGAGGCAGGAGAATCGCTTGAACCTGGGAGACGGAGGTTGCAGTGAGCAGAGATCGCACCATTACACTCCAGCCTGGGTGACAAGAGCAAAACTCTGTCTCAAAAAAAAAAAAAAAAGCAGATGTAGCAAACTGTAAAAGTTGCTGATTTTTTTCATTCCACCCTTCTTTAAATAAACACACACATTGGAATCCACAATAATTAAATGTTTATAGTTAATTTCCATAAATATTCAAGGCTTGGAAGATAGATTTAGCTTTTCCTTCTATTTCACTGCACTTAACATTGCTCCGAATTCAAATGTGTTATCCTGAAGTCTCAAGAACAGCTGACAGGAGTTAAAGCACACTTCTTTATCATCTCTTTATAGAGATTGTGTCTTGGCAACAAAAGCCAATGGATTCGGTGATGAGGTCTGTCTCCCTTTGCCCTTGAGTACCTTGGCATATTTCAGTTCCTTTTCTATCACCGTATTGTTCTATTACTGACACTCCAAACTGAATATCCAACTCAGACAACTCAAGCACCTTCCAAGAAAGACAAACTTATCACTACCCTCATTAATTTGGAAAATGAATAAAGAAGCAGAAGATTCAAGGTCCAGATCTGCAATCTAAAATGCAGGAAGAGAGGACTCATTCATGTGTCATTTTAACATCTGGCCCCAGTAAATGAACAAATATTGATGGTATAGTATATTTACTATTTTAAAAGACATCATGCTGGACACCAAAGCAGTACAGTGAAACCTAAGAACAATGTTCTGACCTCGGTGGACTCACAATCTAGCCAGAGACACAAGATACAATGATATTTTAAGTGATGCATGCAGCAAATTCATCTCAGGTGCATCATTAGAGATACACTTCACATCATTAAAAGGTCTCTGTACGAGAGACACTGCTAATTGTTCCCTAAGACTGCAAATCTCCCCTTTTGCTATGGAAACAGAATTCATCACTTTAGTGGGGCACATTGCTGCCCAGGGTAAGGACAGCTCCCAGCCCCTCTTGCAAGTAGCTGTTACCATATAACAAGGTTAAGGTCACAGGGATGTGGCCGTAGCAGAGATGTGTGCAGATTTCTAAAAGCGTACTTAAAGGGGATAGATGAGCTCTCTTCCTTCTTTGTTTTTTTTCTGACTGGACTTGGACATGCATGTGGCTGGGTCAGCCAGGTTGGACTGAATGGCACATGTTGTGGGGCAGAGAAGAACAAGATAGAAGAGTCTGGGTTCCTGACAAGCAGGGTGGCTTGATCATCCATGAGTTGCCTTTTTCCCCTGAACGCTGCATTCCACAACTATTGTTGGAAATCAAAATCTTTTTTTAAGAATACTACATATTGCTCATTTCTTAAATGGTTTCATTCTCTAAGGCTAAAAAGAGTCATGGTACATGCATGCATATGTGTATGTGCATAAGTACACTCTCCTTTGTACTTTCTCTACATTTAAACTTGAACACAGAGCTCCCTCTGAATTTTTAACCCTCAAAACACAAAAAAAGCTGAATATGGACTTTGCCCCAGTTTTATCACATTTTAATAAATAAAAGCTTCAATGTATTCAGGAATTCATTATTTATTTGTTTCCCACACTCTCAACCCTAGATTATTAATTTGGTTCACCTAAAGCCAACTCACCTCAAATTGGTTAAAAAAAATTAAGCACGTGTAAATCAATGTATAGGGAAAGGGTGGCTGATCCAGCAAAATCCAAGTGTAAAAACATAAAGAGAGGCTTCACAACAGTAATGAGCCATCTGCAATTTAGAATCATCCATGGTAACAATCTCTCATTCCATTTGTTTATGTTTTATTCATCATTGTGAAAATACTTAGTGAAGTGACGATGATGAGATTCAAAAATACTGCATGGTTCTTTTTTTAAAAAGAGATATTAATGGCTTTCAGGGGCTCAACTATTCAAATGAAAATATTGCTGGACTAAATTTGCTCAAATTTGTTCACTTCCTCTTCATTCTTGGATATAATATATTCTTCATTTTATGACAAAAAACTATGTGGTGAAAACATGAGAAATTCCGTAGTTTCCATCGTTTATACATTTAAAAAATCAATAGCAGAAACCTATTTCAAATGTACAATCCTCATTCCTATCATGACAGAGTAAACCAGGCTGCGGTGTCTTGGGTGAGCGTGTTGTCATTCCCTAGTACTACAGTTATTTAGCCTCAAACGTACTGTCTCTAGTTACATATACGGCAAAAACAAGGCTTGACCTTTAAGAATGAAAAGAAAAAAAGATAAGTACTGAGCTGTTAAGCCAACTTAAGGGTATTCATTACAAAGAAGACAGAATAACTACTGAACATACTCTTTGATTCTAATATCTCTATGAAGAAACCTCTCTCTACACAAATTGATAGACATTTTAAAAGAAAATTTATTCATCCCAAATTGATGCACTTAACTTCAGCTAGCTGATTTTATATTTCTCAATCTAGCTTATAAATACTACTCTTCATTTACTTCAATTTACGGAGTATTTACAAAAGCCCTATTTCAAATCTGGTTCCTATCAGCCCCGTTTTTTCTTATTTCTTCTTAAATAAGCATACTTTGTAAAATATAGCCATTTATTCATATATATATTTCTTTCATTTGTTTTAGTAAATGACATTTATTTAGGAACCATTTTTTAAGAAATAAGTTTTTACCATCTCAATTTGCACTGAACCAGCGTCTTCTGAGACCATCCCTCTGGGTGCAAATCTCAGAGTAAGCTCAGTTACTCCTAACGACTGGAAAAGGAAAGAACACAGGAACACTTGAACTCCTCTGACAAGCAGACACTTTGGCTAAGGCGGCATTCACATCTTCTACATCATCCTTCCTGGGGAAAGAAGCTCTCAGAAAAGTCCACACATAGAAGAGCCACTTTATGGTCTTCCCTCAATTTTCTCAGATCAGCCTGATTTAGTCTATGATTGTGCAGACAAGGAGACGGAGCCAAGGGACAAAAGGAAGATAATTGTCACACAAAGAAAATGCTCAAGACCTTGCCAAGGGAGAGACTGCTCTAAATAATAACAAGGCTATTAGCAAACACAGGTTGAGACAGGGAACAGAAAAAGAAAAGATGTCACATGTGAATATGAAAACAAAAGCTGACAAGTAATTCCATTCGGTTTGCCAAGGCACCTGCCAAAAATGTCCCCAAGGAAAAGGGCCATGTGCTCCATGACGCTCTTCACAGTGACGTTCACATAAGGCACAGAACATTCTGCCTGGCCACAAAACACAACAAATATCATCAATATCTTGCCGGGGAACAGTTGTGCACTACCTACCATAGGCAGTCTCCTGGTGCTCCACTTCTCTTCTCAGTCTGTTGTAATCTTCTTTAACACTTCCCAGCTTTTTGACATTCCTGGAACTCAACACCAACAGCTTGCTGAGGAGTCCCTCCAGCCCTTCTCTCTCTGATGTTAATGATCTAATCTCCTCGGTGAGGTCTTTAGCCGTCCAGAAATGGTTTCCTACAGCACGTTGTGGGAGAGAAGAAGGGAAAACAAGCTTTACAGCATCCACACACATGGAAGATCTAGCAGCAGCTAATGTACATTCACAGCATGGGCAAAGAAACTGCACTTTGAGATTATGTACAATTTCCTTAGCAGTCCTCTGGGGAAAGAACCTGGAAAAATATTGCTCTCCTTAAACTGGAAAAATCACCGTCTTTTTTATCACCTTATTCTTGTTATGTCCATTTTAGGAGTTCCATTGGTGAAGCCATCTCCCGTAAAGTATGATGACCCAAAAATGTCCCAGTGGAATCCAGAGAAACCACAATGTGTCACTCCATTCCAATAATATACAAATGTCAAAGAGATGACATATTATAGCAGTGTGGAAGGGGACTGGGCCATATAATCAGAGTTGACCTAAATTAAATTCCTCCCCTGTTACTCAAACTGTGTGACCTGGAGCAAGAAAATTAGCACATCTGGGGCAAATTTCTTATAAAATATAATTGCAATAACACCTGACTCATAGGTAGTTACAAGAATAAACAAGAAATTCTGTAAAGCACTGAGAAAAATATATGATAAATTAAATGTAGCAAGATTGCAGGATACAAGGTCAATGTACAAACATCAATCTTATGTCTAAATAACAAAAAACTAGAAGATGATTTTTTAAAAAATACAATTTACAAAATATTTTAAATCTCATAATACTGAGGGATACTTTCTTTAAATATGTGCAAGAGCTCTACAGTGAAAACTATTTTTCAAAAACTGCTGAGACAAATTAAAGACAAATAATTTAAAAGATACACTGTATACATACACTGGAAGTTCAATATTGGTAAGATTTCAATTTTCCCCACATTGATTCATTGATTTAATATAATTCCAATCAAAATGTTATGAGGTTCTTTTGTAGAAATTTATGTGCTTATTCTAAAACGTCTAAGAGTGAGCTGGGCATGGTGGCTCACACCTGTAATCCCAGCATTTTGGGAGGCCGAGGTGGTGGGTCCCTTGAGGTCAGGTGTTCAAGACCAGCCTGGCCAACATGGCGAAACCCTATCTCTACTAAAAATATAAAAATTAATCTGGCACAGTGGTAAGCACCTGTAATCCCAGCTACTCAAGAGGCTGAGGCAGGAGAATCACTTAAACCCAGGAGGTGTAGGTTGCAGCGAGCTGAGATCCTGCCACTGCACTCCAGCTTGAGCAACAGAGTGAGACTTCATATCTAAACAAATAAAATCTAGAAGAATGAGCCCATGAGTTTGAGGCTGTAGTGCACTATGATTGCACTTTTGAACAGGCACTACACTCTTGTCTGGGCAACATAGCAAGTCCCCACCTCAAAGAAGGAGAGGGAGAAAGAAGAAGAAGGAGGAGGAGGAGGTGAAAGAGGGAGGGAGGGAAGGAAGGAGAAGACGAAGAAGAATGAAGAAGAATAGGAAGAAAGAAGAAGAAGGAAGAGGAGGAGGAGGATGACCAAAGCAATCCTTAAAAAGTGAGTCTTGGTTTCAAGACTAATGCTAAAGCCACTATAAATCAAGGTAATATGGCATTGAATATACATAGACAAACAGATCGATGGAATAGAATAAACAGTCCAGGAGTGGATTAACACATATACAGCCAACCAAAGTGCCAAAGCAAGTCAATGAGGAAAAGAAAGTATTTTCAATAAATGGTGCTGGAACAACTAGCTATCTACATGGAAAAAATATTAACCTTGATTCATACCTCAAACCACACAAAAATTTAATTAAAGGTGGATCACAGGCCTACATGTAAAAGTTAAAACTATAAAGCTTCTACAAAAAAAAAATGAATATTTGATTGACTTTGGAGTAGGCAAGAACTTCAGATAAGATACAGAAAACACTATTTTAAAAAGGATAAATGGGCTTTATCAAAATTAAAAACTTCTCATCAAAAGACACAACTAAAAAATGAGACGACAAGTCACAGACTTGGAGAAAATCATTGCATTATGTTTAACTGACAAGGAATTGAATACTACAACTTGACAATTAAAACACAAATGGTGCCATTGAAAAATGGTCAAATGACTTAACAGGCATTTTACAAAGTAGACGCACAAATGGCTAATAAGCATATGAAAAAACATTTGACATCATTAATCATTAAGAAAAGAAAAATTAAAACCATAAATATTCCACTACAAGCCCACTCAAATGTTTCAAATTAACTCAACTAAAAATGTCAACATTCACAAGGGTATGGAGCAACTGGAACTCTCACGCATGTAAAATGGTCCCTTCAAGAAAAGTTCTGCCAGTTTCTCATAAAGTTCAATGTATACCTACCCTTTAATCCAACAATTCTACTTCCAGGCATTTACACAAAAGAAATGAAAACATGTCATCAAAAATATTTGCACTCAAATAAATGGTCACAGTGTCTTATGCCTGAGAGCCAGCCCCATACTGGAAGCAACCTAAATATCCATCAGCAGGAAGATGCAAAAATAATACTATAGCTATGCAATGAAAGACTACTCAGCAATAAAAAGAAACAAACTCGTCATACATGCAGCAACATGTATGTGTCTTTTTCTTTCTTTCTTTTTTTTTTTTTTGAGACAGAGTTTTGTTCTTGTTGCCCAGGCTGGAGTGCAGTGGTACGATCTCAGCTCACTGCAACCTCCACCTTCCAGTTTGAAACTATTCTCCTGCCTCAGCCTCCCAAGTAGCTAGGATTACAAGTGCCCACCACCACGCCCAGTTAATTTTTGTATTTTTTAGTAGAGCCGGGGTTTCACCATGTTGGCCAGACTGTTCTCAAACTCCTGACCTCGTGATCCACCCACCTCAGCCTTCCAAAGTGCTGGGATTACAGGCGTGAGCCACCGCGCCCAGCCAACATGTACATGTCTTTAGAAAAGATGCAAAAGAGTAGTGCCACATGATTCCATTAAGTTCTAGAACAGCCAAAATTAATCCATGGTAGAAGATATCAGAACAGAGGAGGGACGATGATGACTGGGACAAGATAGGGTGTTGTTTCTTGAGTGATGAGACTGTTCTATCTCTTGGTAGGGCTGTTCGTAACACAGGTGTCAAAATTCAAGAACTGTAAACACTTAAGACCTGTGCATTCCACTGAATATAAACCATACCTCAATTAAAAAGAGGAAAAATTAAGAAATTTTTAAGCATGAACATTGAACAATAAATAAATATATAACATTAATGAGTGTCCCATAAATTAGTTAGTGTTAATTAGAAAACCCCACTGTGTTTTCTCAGAATTTATAGTAACCATAATCACAATAATAGCTACAAACTTTCTCACCTTTAAATGTCATCACAACTTTAGGAAACAGGTTATATCTTATATTATTATTATTATTATTATTATTATTATTATTATTATTATTTTACATTTTAACATCTCTGAAACAGGGATGTGTCCTACAATCACCATCAGCCAGGAAGTGGTCAGGATGCAGTGGTTATAACTGGATTATTTTCCCTGGCCTGGCTGACCATCTGCAACCCCCTGGTGTTTCAATGTACAAACTATTTTAGGACCATCTGCGTACTGGCTGTTGCCTGAAAATCTTGTGTTGATGTGGATTTGTAAGACTGGGAAAGCACCAGCATTCAAAACTTGAAGAAAGGTGTTAGCAGTTTGGCAGACAATCCTACAGAAAACTCTTTATTCTTGGGGGAGAAAAAGTTGCCTCCCATCAACTTCAATGGTTCACAGGATGATGACGTGTGGGGAAACACAAACCTCGACAACATTGAGTCCAAATGTGTTTCGGAAGACTCAGAATGAAGAAGAAGATGCCAAGGAAAACCTTAACCAATTTATTTTCCTTTTTAATGAGTGATATGTGATTTTTCAAAAGCCTAAATACATCTAAAAGAGCTATATCAGTTAAGTATAAGATAAAAATTCTAAACCATAGAAAGCACTGTTACTGCTTAATTGACAGCAATTTTTCTTTCTTTGCAATGTATAAAATAATGGGTGCTTTTTATGTTCACTGAAATTCATATTGTTGTCTCCTTTTACAGCTGGGAAAGCGGAAATCTGGAGAACTAAAATATCTTGCTGAAGATCACAATGCAGTAAAGCATAGGGCAAGTTTCCAACTCGAACATCACCCCAGAACACTTCCTTTTAAACATAAATTATGTTGCTAACTTTTTTATTGTTACTTAGCAGGCAGATTTCAAACTGATACAAATGTTGAAAATGATACAAAATGTTTTCCCACCTTAAAGGCATTCTGAAACCTAGCACATAACATCTGTCACTGAAGTCCATAGTTTCCAATGCCATGATTGGATAAAGACCCTATTGAGACTCATGTGTTTGTCTCTCACTGCTTAAAACACTCATGTGTTTTAAGCAACATGACAAGCACAAAAGAGAACAAGTACTGCTCCTGCTCTCCAGGAAGTTACCATAAAATAAAGGGGATAAGGTGCCTTCCAAAGAAAAAACAAATACTAGGAGAGGTCAGAGGAGAAGAGAGATTATTCCAGAAGGAGAGACTGAGGCAGATTTCAGGAGGGAAGAATATAAGAGTCCCAAAAGAAGAAACAGGAACCCAGGTTAGAGAGCAATGGGCAAGGGGTAGGAGGTGAGACTAAACTCACAAGGAAGTTGCTTCAAAACAATAGTGCCCCAAATGCCAAGCTGATGGGTTGGACCCATTTAGGAAAAACCCACAAAGTCCACAGGAGAGCAGACTGCACTTCCATGAGCTTCAAGCTGTAAACAGTAACCTCAAATAAAACTTTTCCCGGATCGGTAATTTCCATCCTGAACAATGGCCAAGTCAAGGAAGCTGAGGATCGAGCCCCCTACCGCATGCCACAAAGAACCTCAAGGGACCCCATGCTCTGGGGAGCTCGCAGGAGGACCAGCACAGAGGTGTGACTGCGTTGGGGCAGGGTGGCCACATGTACAATGTTGTACCTTCCAATGTTCCTCCTTAGGCTGTGCTTATGAAGTCCCAACATGTCTTCTGGGCTGTGTTTTCAACCAAGAGAGTTAATAAAAAGTGGGATGGGCACCAACTATGCCTCCAGAGACATCAGGCAGAATATGCCACAGCGTGCCATGTCCTCCTGCAAACAGTCAGAAAGAAAAGATCTCTAAAAGCAGATTGGAAGAGACTATATATACAGAGCGAGTGCCGGTACAGAAGTTTTGCTGCAAATACACCCTCTAATCCCTTGCAACCCACTGCAAGCTCGAGAGACCAGTGCCCTTGGTAAAACATAGGAGAGATCATTAATTAAAGCCTAGGCCCTTTCTTTGATCCTGAGGGATAAGGCTTGGGAAAATGCACAGTGATAAAAGTGAACATTTTAAAAGAGCAGAGTGAGTGTGAATTCCCAAAGAGACCATTCATATCAAGACCCAAGCCATGAGAAAATGCTACAATGCCCTTGATCAATACTTTATAGGCATTTTGACCTCAGATCTAATCCCATGAGGCTTAGACCAAGACCTTGCTTGATGCAGACCTCTCTGACTGCTGAAATTGGTCAGGAGCTCAGTGATGAAAATTTGGAAAGTCAATGCTGATACCTGAAGAAAGTCCCATCAGAGATCTGTGACCTGAATCTTCATAACTTTCACAGGCCCTTTCTAAATGCCAAGGAGGATGTGTGTGGAGAAGAATATGCCACCTATGGCATCCCAATATGCCTGTGCCCGCCTGCTCTTCAACAAGGGAATGAAACCTGGGTATTCTCATAGGTTTTTTAAAGCACTTGTCCACATATTTTATTCCGCAAATAACACAATTTAAAATTCAGCTAGAATTTGCCATTTTCTGTCAGGGTTGTGCATTTCTTCCAGTCACCATGACTTCCTGAGATAGCCAAAACACAAAATTTAAATTGTGTTTAAATTAAATAAACACAATTTATGCTGAAGCTGACTTTACCCACTCTGTTCCAACATTACTTATCCTCAGCATCTCTGAATTCAAATATCAGCCAGGTGTGGTGGCTCATACCTGTAAGCCCAGCACTTTGGCAAGCCAAGATGGGAAGGTTGCTTGAGGAGTTGGAGACCAGCCTGGGCAACATAGCAAGACCCCCATCTCTACAAAAAAATTAAAAAATTAGCCAGGCATGGTGGTATGCACCTTTAGTCCTAGCTACTTGGGAGGCTGAGGTGAGAAGATCACTTGAGCCCAGGAGCTTGAGGTGGCAGTGAGTCATGATCATACCACTGCACTGTAGCCTGAGCAACAGAGCAAGACCCCATCCCTTAAAAAAAATACCTGCCCTCTGTACTTCATAGCACCTGGGGCATTTTGAACAGTTCTTCCTTCACCTGAGGTCATTATTTGAGAATCCAATTTTAGAGACTACAATGCTCTCATTACTTGGATTGTATCATTTAATCTTCCCAACAATCCAGGAAGGGGAGTCTCTTAATGATTGTCCTTGATTTCCAGTTAAAAAATCTAGACCCAGAGGTAACCTTGTGAAGGTCACAGAGTTTCAGAGTTCTAAGATCCCATGCGAGATTGCTGAACTTGAACTTGTTTCTTCTGATCTCATGTCAATAAGTGACTTAGTCAACACCTGGGTAGAAATCATCACTAAAGTGAGAAAGCACATGGTGAGGGGGATGAATCCTGTGCCCACATGGTCCCTTTCACCTGCCCAATCCTCAGGCCTCTCACCTGGGGTACCCCTCACACACATGGCACTTTCCTGAACTCATGGACATTTCAGTTTGTAACGATCCTCCTAAGATTATCTACTTTCACCTATCCACATTTGAACTATACTTCTTTAGTGGAAAAAAAGAAATAAAGCCAGTGCTGAGAATGATCAAACTCCAGAAATAGTAGACTGCTGTATAATTTGTCTTGCGTGACACCAGATCTTTCAAGGAACTGCAAGCTCAAGTGCACAGTTAAGCAAGATCAAGATCTACCTTTGTCTTTCAGAGCCTTCCCTTGGCGAGGTCAAGGATATCTGCTGTGAGCCTGGGCTGGCTGAACCAAAGGGCAATGGAGGCGGCCAAGAAGCCCCAGCCAACTGCTCCCCTCCCCAACCCCCTTCTCCCTGGAGGTCCCTTCAGCTAGAATTTGCCATTTTCTGTCAGGGTTGTGCATTTCTTCCAGTCACCATGACTTCCTGAGATAGCCAAAAGCATTTGCTGTGAGCAGAGCCCCATGGCTGGCTTTGCACATCAAACATTTCAGACAGCCATATATTTCATAGAATACAAGGGGAAGATAACACTGGACACACAGAACTTTCCAACAGCTTGAGAAAATGTGGTGCCTGGTGACTGACTAAATATACAATCGGACAACAGCCAGGCCATAGCAAAAGATGGAACTCTGATCCACAAGGTGCAGCAACTTTCCCAGAAAACAATACCCTTACCCACAAAAAGCAACCCCGGAAGCTGGCCTGCTCTAAATCAGACCTGCTGGAAGCCAAATTGCTCTCTAGTAACTATCCAGGAAGCTAAATAATAACTTCTGTAACAATTGACTCAAAATGTTCAGGACTGGATTAATAACTGATGGCTTCCCTAATTTTTGTCCCCGATTCCAACTTAGGACCCACCAGAGAAAGCCAAATATGGTCCCCTGACCAAGCACACAGGATGTTCGCTTCTAGTGAGCCGCCTCCAGCTTCCCCGCATTGATAACCTCCAATCAGGGCACACCTGAAGCCTTCGCCTTTTTCCACTATAAAGCTCTCCCACTCGTCTGCCCACCTTTGAGTCTCTGCCAAATTGCAAATGATGGTGTCTGACTCCCTTGCTGTAGCAAGCTCTGCATAATAGCTTGTGCTTATTCTCTTTGGGTAGGTCTTCATTTCTTTTCACACCAGATAGGCATCATCTTTGAAAACATCTTTACTGGGTCTCTTGTCTCCCTCCTGCAGCCACTGATCTAAATCACAGACTTTTTTAGAAAGAGGGAAAATAGTAAAGAAAGAAAGCGATTGAGTTGATGCTCCCAGCCACTGTCTGTACCCTGAATTTTGTTTTTCTGCCATATGTCAGGTGGCCTCTCCTGGACCATCGTCACTGTTTCTCCTGCTTCCCTGCAGCTGCAGACACAGGAGCACTGTGTAGGTCTGGCCTTGAGCACCCACCCACCCAGTACAGAGCCAGCCCCTGCTGTTCTGAATCAGTGCAGTGACCACTTAGAACACAGTGCCCATGCCTCTGTGATCTGAACTGCTCTTTCCAGTTCCATACAATGTTAAGAACCCACTTAAGAATGTTTTAATCATTCAGTAGTTTTTCGTGGTATATAATAAAAAAGTGATTTAAATACAATCTATTTTATTTTAGATTATATCATTAGGGGTTATTTTACAAAGTTACCTTTAAATACTATTGTAAATAAAATTAATAACAAATAAGCAAAATTCTTACTTTTCCTTGTTTGACAATTGACATGGTCAATTTAATTTCCTTTAAATTAATTATGCAAGAAAAGGATATTTCCTCAAGAAAATTTAAAATGATATATATTTCTTGGTTGGGTGCCAAATATTCATTCAGAAGAAGACGGAAATTTAAATCCTTGTTTCTAATTTAAGGAAAAAACTACTTTCATTATTGGATGTGTGAAATTCACCCATTTTGTGTTTATCTAGAAAATCTAGTTTATTGTCCAAATGTTCTTATTTTCCCCAAAAGCATCAGTTAGGAGAGAAGATTTCCAGCTGCCATTAAAATACAATTGTGTGCAATGAATACATTTTGGGTATAGATAGTTTTTATTCTCTATAAATGAAATGCCAAATTGGATAGAACCATCCTTTTTTTTTTTTTTTCAAAAAAAAAAGGCTTTTGGAGTATCAGAGACATCCTCTTATGTTATTTTAAAATAAATAATTATTTGAGCTGTTTGCTTCTTGGAAGCAGATAACAAGGGGGCAGGTGAGATAAAAAAAAAATATATCCAAACTGAGGTGAGACCAAAGATGGCCAATCTAAGAACCAGGCAGATGTCTCTGCCTGTCCTGGGAAGATTCCCTCACCAGGCTCCCTCACTGGCCAGAGGAGCCCACTTGTTGGGCTGCCAACTGGTTCCTATAAATTCTAAGGCAATTAGAATCATGTGGTGACTGTAACGGGAATGACACAGCTGCCCAGGCATTAGAAGGAAACCACACCCAATGGCTCAAGCCAGTGGCGAGAGATAAAAACTGAGAGACATCTCCCCTGACTAGCAGACTGGGCTCCCTGCTTCCCCATTGCTTCCTTTAAACAGGCCATTCACACATTTGCCTGAAAACTTACAGTGGCCCAGACCCTACTCCCTATACACACTGCCAGTTGCCATGTGCCTTGTTTCTCTCTCTCTGCATGATGCTTCATTCCTATCTGGAGTGGCCCAGGGACAAAGGACTGCCCTCCCGACTCTCTGTGCCCTCCCTGCCCAGGATCCGTAAATTACACTTTTTGAATTTGTTTCCTACTGTGGTGTATATTGCCTTTGCACCTTCCATCTGAAGACCAGGGGATGCCCCAGGCCAGGTTTTACCTGGGATGCCCAAGAGAGCACAAGGTTTGGCTCCCAGCGCCAGAGCAATGGGCAGGGGGGCATAAACTGAACACAGGAAAGGCAAGAGCCACAAAGACATATAAACAAGTTTCCCAGGCGAGGAGCCCCTGGTCACAGGTCAGACAACTAGGCATTGGGCCATCTACCAGGTAAAAGCAGCATCCTATGAAAGGCACGCAGTAAATACCATGTCCATCTCCCCTTCATTTCCCCTTAGGGCGGTTTGCTAGCTGTTCTGGGACTGGAACCTCAGTTTAGCTGGGGGCTCTCAGAACAGACAGCTAGATGAATTAAACAATGAAGTCTCTCAGCCTTAGGCACATCTTCCAGGACAAGGGGAAGGCCAGGGGAGAGTAACATCAGTGATCCTACAAGATGTGCTTCCAGGCCAAGGCCAGGTTGCAGTTGCAGCTACTTAGCCATGGTACACGGTGGGCCTGGAGCTTCTGGGTGTGCAAAGATGTGACTCAAGAGTCCATCTGCCAGCAGTGAGCAGGGCAGGCCAGCTCTCCTCTCACTGGTACGGTGGTTCCAGCCCTCACAGGACATTAAAACCACCTGGAAACTGTTTATGAAGGTTCCTATATTCAGGAAAAATCCCTAGAGATTCTGACCGAAGGAATTTGGTGCTGCCTGGGTACCAGTATTTTTAAATTTCCCCAGATGATCCTAACATGCAGTCTGAGTGAAAAACCCAAGTTTGACGGCTACAGGAATTTAGAGCTTCTCTAAAACATACAGGGAATAATACCAGGGCCATACATTGGAAGTCCTTCCATTGGGAATGCAAAGAAAAAAGAAAAAGATGGCCAACATCTACCATTTTAAAGGGATTCCAGCAAGCATATTATTAAATGCAGGGCTGCCTCTGGCATCTGGAAGCAGCTTGGGTGCCCTGGATATAATTCTCTTTTAAAAGTTTTTTTCACAGCTTTTATAGACCACTTAAAACTGGCCTTCATCTTGTGCCAAAATAGCAGGGCTGTGTTTGTTTAGCTTCAAGATTTTCAGGTCCAATTGATTAAAAAAGGTGAGTGAGAAGCCTGCCAACACACAGTGAGGCTGTCACCCAGGCAGCTGCTGCTGCTGGCTTCCAGCATCCAGAAGCTGGAACATCAGCCAGCTCCAATCACCTGACAGAGGATGGATCCTATGAGAAGGAGGACCGGGGCTTAAAACCAGACGTACCCACTGAAGTCAGGGCAGGAGATGAAAATCTTAACAAGTGAAGGAGGTATGAAAACAACAGATTCTAGGGATCAGCAACCAATGAATGAGGGTCCATTTTTTGAAAAACAAATACTTCTACTGGCTGTCTTTTGAGTGCCAGGCATTAAACAAAGTGGAAGAAAAAAATTGGAGGGTGACTCAACAGATGGACCAGATCAATAATGAGGGGTAATTTGAGCAGGACAAGGCTGGAGCTGGAAGTGCATGCAGGATGCCAGCATCAGAGCAGCCAGGCATCAGAGAGCCAGCCTTGACTACTCGCCGGGCCTCAGGGGCTGAGCCTTCGTCCCAGGACAAGGGAGTGGCCAGAGCTTGGCTGGCCCCGTTCCAGATGAGGACTGTGATACCAGTCAGGTCAACGAGCACCGATAGAGGTAGGGCCCAATATAGGACCGTGTCTCACAATGGTGCAGACCCGCAGTCCAACACACAGGAAGGATGCTTGTTGCTAAGTCTTAGACACGGGAACTGGAGGAGGGTTGAGGGCCCCCAGCAGTGGGAAGGCAGGCATGGCATGCAGACGGTGGACGCGGACTCAAGACACCAACTCTCATCACTACAGGTCCGTGGTTTGGAAAGTCCCAGCACCATTCCAGAGAAGGAAACAGGCCCAGGTTTCTGATGGGGATGGGTAGTAGCCACAGAGCACAAGTCAGCCGCACCCACCACACACTTGCTGTAGTGCCACACTCTCGGCCCTAGAGGGCACTGACGCTTTCCCTTCGCTCTGCCCCAGGGCCAGGGCCAAAGCCATCAAGTCCTGGGCAGAGGGCGGGAGCGTTCAGTGAGAGCAGCACAGAGGTTAAAGAGCTGCTCTTTTTTGAGATCTTCGCTCTCACTTCCTTTCCAGGCAGCCAGTTCAGCAAGGTGGGTCTGGGGCTGCCTCCTGGGAGAAGAGGCCTTTCACCCTCGAACCCTGCAGGACCTCAGTTTGTCCCAGGGCAAACCTCCTACATTGGGCAGTTAGGTCAGACCTGCTTCAGGCCTTGGAAGACTGTCTTCTCCTTGGCTTCTCTTACTGCACTGGATCCAGCCAGGACACTGATCAGACCTCCAGGGCCCAGGTTAACAATATGTGGCCCAGCTCTGGGAGAGAAGCCAGCAGGTCTCCCAGGCTTTTGAACTCGGAGCTGAAAACCAAACAAAAAAACGAATCCACCCCATTGACAAGTGGCCCAGCCTAGTTGGCCAGTCAGGAGACTGCACAGGCACTGAGGCCAAAGCTGCCTTGGATTAAGAGGTATGGATGCCACCGCTGCCCTTTTACTACAGGTACACTGGCCGGGAACCTGTAGCACTGAGTGACACCTGATCAGAGAGTCACCCACTGGCTGGGTCTCCCCCAACTCAGATGCATGGCTAACAATCACTAGCTAAGCATGTATTCACTCTGTGGAAAGCCACGTCACGTTCATATATTTATTATCTCATGTATTAATATACTGATGTACCACATTATTCTAATTTACTACCTCACTTAATTCTTACAACAACCTAATGTGATGGGCAATATTATTATTAGCTCCATTTTACAGATGAAGAAACAAGACCTGAAAAGGTTAAACAACTTGCCCAAGATCATCCAGCCAAGTCATGATAAAGCTGCACTTGAACACACACTTCTCAGATTCCAAAGCCCAAGTTTCTCTCTACTAACTGTATGGCCCCTGCACTCAAAAACTGAGAAATCTCTCTGCCCTGGTGAGTTTCTTCCTCTACGTCAGTATGCATAGAGCTCAGGGCTGTACTTTCCTTCACTAGTGATATGGTTTGGATCTGTGTCCCCATCCAAGTCTCATGTTGCAATGTAATCCTCAGTGCTGGAGGTGGGGCCCGGTGGAAGGTGATTGGATCATAGGGGCAGTTTCTCATTAATGATTTAGCACCAGTGGAAGGTGATTGGATCATAGGGGCAGTTTCTCATTAATGATTTAGCACCAGTGGAAGGTGATTGGATCATAGGGGCAGTTTCTCATTAATGATTTAGCACCATCCCTCTTGGTGATGCTGTTGCCATAGTGAGTTATCACAAGGTCCGGCTACTTAAAAGTGCGTGGCACCTCCCCCACCCCCCTCCTCCTGCTCTGGCCGTGTGAAGTGCTGGTTTCCCCTTCACCTTCCGCCATGATTGTAAGTTTCCTGAGGCCTCTCCAGAAGCCAAGCAGATGCTGCCATGCTTCCTGTACAATTTGCAGAATCATAAGCCAATTAAACCTCCTTTCTTTATAAATTACCCAGCCTCAGGTATTTCTTTACAGCAGTGTGAGAACGGACTGATATGTCTAGGAAGGACAGCAACAACAGAATCCACTTTTGCTATCGGCTTTAAACCAAACTATCCTCTGCTGAACAGGAAAATTGAAACAGAAATAGAGAATGGAAAAAAAGAGGTGACTAAAACACACTTAAGGTGTGTACAGTGAAAAGGGAGAGAAACAATGGGCTCTCTAAATTACTTTTCTTAATGTGTATTACACCACACTCAACTGGATATATTAATATCATCATGGTTCTTCCAAAAATCAATAATTACCTATCTGTAGTAGATTTCCTATACTAGCCTACTTTTCTTCCTTTTTTCATTTCTAACATCCTAGTTAATTCCATGACTCCCAAGGTGTTGCCACATCCATCCCTCTGTGTACAACATGGCCGGATTACGCTTCCTAAAGTCTGGTTTTAATCATGTCACTACTCCGCTAAAACATGGTAATGGCTCCCTAAAATGCTCTTATCCTTAGCCTACAATTCAGAGCTCTGTGTATCCTGGTCCTAACCAACTCTGAAGAGCTACCACAATACTAATCCTATACCTGGGCCAATCTAGACTACTCTTCCTCCTGAAGAAATAGCTGAGCTTTTCCTCCATATTCAGCCCAGGCATATCTAGCTCCATTCCACTGTGGCCAATGGGAGAACACAGCTATCAAAAAAGAAGAGACATTGAGCCAGGAGCTCATGCCTATAATCCCGTGACTCCAGAGGCTAAGGCTAAGGATGGCTTGAGCCTAGGAATTCAAGGCTGCAGTCAACTATGATCTTACCTCTGCACTCCAGCCTGGGTAACAGAGCAACACCTTGCCTCAAAAAAAAAAAAAAAGGAAGGGGGATCTTGTCCTGTTCTCTACTGCATCCTCAGTACCTAGAACCAGATCTGACACTTCCTAGATGCTCCATGATATTTTTCTTTTCAGTAAATAAATGGAACAGGCCATTTCCTCTGACTGAAAAGCTCTCTGTCCAGGTCTTCAGTTCTCAAAATCCTTCTGTCTCAATAAATACTGTGGCACTTTTTAGAGCATGGCACTGAAACTCTTTGACACACCTCTCATTGAGACTTGTTATAGTGGCCCTTCCCTTGAATCAGCACACCAGGAATGCTGGACCAATAAAACACAATGGAAGTAACACTGCAGTGGTTATAAAAATATGCCCACCAAATTCTTTAATACTCCTCCTTTGGGGTAAAACCTGTTTCCTTCCCCTTGCCTGTGGGCTGAACTGAACTTAGTGACTTGCTTCTAGTCACTAAGCAGAAGTGATGCTGTGTGACTTTGAAGGCTAAGTCCTAACAAGACACTGTGGCTTTTTTTTTTTTTTTTTTTTTTTTTTTTGAGACGGAGTCTTGCTCTGTCACCCAGGCTGGAGTGTAGTGGCGCGATATGGGCTCACCGCAAGCTCCGCCTCCCGGTTCATGCCATTCTCCTGCCTCCGCCTCCCGAGTAGATGGGACTACAGGCGCCCGCCATGACGCCTAGCTAATTTTTTGTATTTTTAGTAGAGACGGGGTTTCACCATGTTAGCCAGGATGGTCTTGATCTCCTGACCTCGTGATCCACCCACCTCGGCCTCCCAAAGTGCTGGGATTATAGGCGTGAGCCACCGCGCCTGGCATCTGTGGCTTCTGTCTTATTTGGTCTCTCTCCCTCAGATCACTGGCTCTGAGGAAATCAGCTGCTATGTTGCAAGAGGTCCTAGGGCACAGCTCTTGTGGCAAGGAACTGAAGCCGTCTGTTAACAACACATGCATGAGTTTGGAAGCAGATCTTTCAGCCCCAGCCAAGCCTTTAGACGACTGCAGCTCCAAAGTGTGTCTTAACAGCGACCTTATGAGACCCTGAGTCAGAGCCACCCAGCTAAGTCACTCTGGACTCCTGTCTCTCAGAGACTGTGAGAGATAAAGGTTTGTTGTTTCAAGCTATGAAGTTTGAGGAGCCACTTATTACACATTAATAGAGATGCATACCAGTGTCTGAATTCAGACCTTAAGAATAAGAAATTTCCATTTCCTTTCTCTTGGGACACTTGCTCTTGGAACCCAGCAGCCATGTTGTAAGGAAGCCAAGCTGCCTATAGAGAGGCCCACATAGAGAGCACTCAACAGCCAGACCATATGTATGCACCGTCTTGGGTGTGGATTCTCCCACCCCAGTTGAGCCACCCTAGCTGTCCCTGCCAAGCCCTGCCCAAATTGTATTTCCATGGGCAAAATAAATAACTGGTAATATTTTAAGTCACTACGTCTTAAAGTGACTTATTTTTTATTAGGCAGCAGTAGATAATGAAAATAGATTTTGGTATCTGGATATGGGATACTATTGTAACAAAATCCTAAAATCGAGGCATTGGTTTTGGGACTTGGTAGTAGGCAGAAGCCTCATGGGCCTCCGTGAAGGATAGAAAAAAGTAAGAAAAATATATCAGAAACTAGAAAAAAAAAGATCCTTGTAGTGGCAAAAAAGTCACTCAGTTACCAACTGAGGCAATATAAAAAAGAGTCCCTAATAATTGTAGTTAGACATCCAAGGAGATTTCCAGGCAGAATACAGAAGTGCCCACTGACCTCCTGTCAATGCCTGTGATGAAATGCAAGAGAAGAGAGATGAATTAAAGAATAAACTGTTACATGTAAAGGAGCTAGATCTGGCCAGGTTTGAAAATGAAACTAATTTGTTATTCCTACTCTCTGCAAATGGCAAATAGTTCTCAAATTAAGAAAGGACCTCAGGCCATAGATCAAAGTCAGGATGGATGTATTAGTCCTTTCTCACACTACTATAAAGATACCACCTGAGACTGGGTAATTTTTAAAGAAAATAGATTTAATTGACTCACAGTTCCCCATGGCTAGGAAGGCCTCAAGAAACTTACAATCATGGCGGAAGGCAAGGGGAAAGCAAGGCACCTTCTTCACAAGGTGGCAAGAAGAATGAATGCAGGAAGAACTACCAAACACTTGTTAAACCATCAGATCTCATGATAACTCACTCACTATCACGAAAACAGCATGGGGGAAACCGCCCTCATGATCCAAACACCTCCCACCAGGTCCCTCCCTTGAATGTGGGGATTACAATTTGAGATGAGATTTGGGTAGGGACACAGAGCCAAACCATATCAATCAGTCTATAAATCTAAGCGAATCATAGAAACTTGAAGAGAGACAAAAGACCCCCTAAGAATCTTAAGGACCTCCCTTAAGATCCTCTCCATTCAGGGCAGATCACAAGGTCAGGAGATTGAGACCATCCTGGCTAACACAGTGAAACCCCGTCTCTACTAAAAATACAAAAAATTAGCCGGGCGTGGTGGCGGGTGCCTGTAGTCCCAGCTACTTGGGAGGCTGAGGCAGGAAAATGGTATGAACCCAGGAGGCAGAGCTTGCAGTGAGCCGAGATCGCGCCATTGCACTCTAGCCTGGGCGACTGAACGAGACTCTGACTCAAAAAAAAAAAAAAACCAAGATCCTTTCCATTCAATAGGGCTTTTAAGAATCTTACCTAATGGAGTGAGGGTTTGCCCATTCTGAAGGTATTGAAACAGGAGAAAACAGAAATAGCATTATATGCAGGAGTTGCAAACAAATGTTGACCACCTTAACACTAGTATCACCTATGGGGACAGCCCATTGACTGAAAGGCCGGTCCACCAAAGAGCATACAGAGCAACCAGAAAATAGTGAGGTCAAAAGGTCAGTTACCAGGAGGGTTAATTCAGGTCATCCTTCAGCAGATCAGGCCTCACCAATTTTCTCAGCTGACCAAAGAGCTAAAACAGGAAACCTGCGCCATACGCAATATACCATCTTGGGCATTTTCCCTGGAGTCTGAAGAGAGATTGTTCACATTGGAGTGAGGCTATCTCTGCTGCCTGAATTATACATTTCTTCCCTTGGGCTTAACACAGACTCATCCACCGGTATTCCTGGGAAAGATATATTGATTAAGAAAGGCAAAAACCCTAACTCAGAAGCAAGACTGTGTTCAATCTTCTTTTTTTTTCTCTCAGCAAATGGGCCCATAATTTCAAGTAAATGGCATGTGAAGCTGTTAAGAGCCAAGCCCCACATTTGCGCTGCCATGTTCTACTGGTTGTAAATAATACGCGTGACTGCACCAGGGACCAAATTGCTCTTTAGCTGCCAACATTAGTTGTTTAATGATCTGAGGAGCAGAAGCTGCCAATTATTGTATTCCTTCTTAAAATACCATTTAAAACACATACATGTAATTATTATAACTTTTTGTTAAATTTTTATGATTCTTTTGAAGCTGATGAGCTCTGGGTCCATTCAACCTATAAAACTCAGAGAACTTTTTGAAGCTGTCATTACATAACTGGGTTAAAAATCCATATATAATACACCGAGAGAGGGCCTGGACTTTAGCCCCAGATCTGCCACTGCTTAGCTAATTGAGTGACCTTAACCAAAGGACACATCCCGCAGCCTCAACCTCCCCATCAGTCCATTCGGATCACGGTCTCTCTCCCATCTACCTAATATAGCAATTGTGAAAATAAAATAACAAATCCAGAGGAGTGTTTGAAAGCACTAATGATAGGATAAGATACTGTTTTCAGAGACTCTTGACTTCAAGCTACTAATTAATGGAAAAATCAATTCCTTAATAACTGCCAGAGTAAGAGGGAGCATAATCCTTTGAGGATTCGCCAAGTTTCTATGACTAGATTTTCAAACTGAGGACATTAATTTGTCTCATGTTACCATCCTTCCCTCTATAGAAAGGGTCTGATCACACCCAATAATCCTCATTCAGTATTTACAGATACACAATGCTACATACACATCTGCTAGAATCATATGGCACACAGAGTACATTTAGTCTCTAAACTCTTCAAGAAACAGGAACTAGAAATCCCAAATACGGTACTCACTTAAACACCTTGTGCTATATTATGTGCATATTAGTGAAACTTCCCAGAAAAGCTTTCAGATGTCTGAGAATGACATAATAACAGTGGAATGTTCATCGAGGACAAAACACGATGTGCTGGTAGCTGTCATTATTTTAGTTGGATAGCTTCAACGTCTCCTACACTGCCAGTTACCTGATATGGCATGCATTTTGGCTTCAAGCAAGGCTGGTAGTTGGGTTTCAATATCGTTAACTTTCTTCCTCAGGGTGCTGCAGAATTTCTCACTCATACACACCTAGGGGGAGAGAAATGACCAGGAATCATCATTTATTCAGCTAAAAATCAGAAGGCAGTGGAACAGCCAGGTCAGAGATTTCTGGGTTTGTAAGTAATTAAAAGGGGTGATGAAAAGTAATTGGAAGACAATGTTCAAAAAGCAAGCAATGGAAAAAGAAAGACAAAGAAGAGAGGGAGAAAGGGAGGAAGGGAAGAAGGGAGGAAGGGAGGAAGGGAAGGAGGGAAGGGGAAGGGGAAGGGAAGGGAAAGGAAGGGAAGGAAAGAGAAGGGAAAGAGGGAGGGAAATGTAGGAAGAAGAACAAAAATAAAGTGAGCAATGGCATATTCCAAGCATATGCCCATCATCACCCCACATCCAATTACAAAACTGATAGGAGCTAACAGAGAGCAACCACAAGGTAACATAATTGCATCACTCCTGCCTCCTGCCTTCTCCAGGCCTCTGCCGAATCCTCCTGTCTGCATCACTTTTGTAGTCCCAGGTGGTTTGGCTCACTCATACCCTTCCAGACTGCTCAGTCGCTGCCTGGGAGGAAAGGCCTTACTGATTACCCACCCAAAATAGCAACCTCCCTTGGCCCTCCCTCCGCTTGATGTTCTTCCACAGCTTCTTCTCAGATGATACACCATGTAATTCTATTCCTTTGTTTCCACATTGTCTCTCTGCCGGGATACGAGCTCTATGTGAGCAGGGATTTTGCTCTGTGCCTGGCACATAGTACGCAGTGAATAAAGATATGGCCATTGAGATGAAGGTCAAAGCTGCAAGCTAAATTTAATTACTAGTATTAATAGACACTGTTTAGGGAAACTTTGAAGGCAGATAGATACTTGCTGGCAAGTCAGATTTGAAAAATAGACAAGTAACTCTCAGTGAGGTTTGAGAGTTTTATCATGTATTTTCCCATGACATTCCAAACACATCCTACAGTTTTTTTCTTTGGTTTTTCAAAAATAGCAAAAATCTTAAATCTTAATTTCTTTTTCCAAATGTCTTTAGGTTATCTTTTATTTTGTTGGAGGCTAAAACATCACATTTTTTTCCTTTTTTGAACCCTTTCAACAGTCTCAAGACTTTTCATATGCCAATGTTATCTAGACTCAGATTAATGAGCTACCTAGAAAAATTTAATTTCCCAGAAGAATCTAAGGTTTGTGGGACACCATCAACTTTAAATGTTTTCTTATATCAGTTTGAATTGAGATTATTTTTGGAGTCAAAGCAGACCTCATCCATCCTGCCTAAAATACTCCACTCTTTCTCTCATGGACTTCCATATGTTCTATTCAGTGGCTGTAATTTTCCAACATCTTTTTTATAAAAATCATTCTCTGGATGAAGACGACAGTTTGGTAGCCTCTAAACCAAAGCATGCACTGGTGATGTTGGGCATCCGCATGTCCAAAGTAATTAATTCCGAGACCCTTTCAACAGTCTTGAGACTTTTCAGAGTTAAAAGGAAGATATCCCTTCCCCCAGCACCAAGTCTTAGTTTGGCTCAAACCAGATGACTGGCACATCCCATCCTATCTATTTAATAATGTCATCTGAGGTCTGAGGGCATTTCCATTAACTCTGTAATACCAGCCATAATTCTTATGTCTCATCCAGTCTATGTCCAATATTTCTGATTTTAGTGAACAGTATCTGTTAATCATAATTGAGTCAGTTTCTCCTTTGTTGAGCAAATCTATCTTTCAAGCTGTCAATATTAATACTAAACAACCTTTCTGAATCTTCTTATTAAATTGCAATGTTCATTCTTTCAGGCTCTGCTGGATGTAATCTAATATCTACCAATCTCCAGATATCCCATTTATTTCCAACTGTTTCTTCCATCTCATTTATCCCTTAATTACTTTTGGTTTGGGTAACCCATAAGAGTTTAAGAAATGTAATGAGTGCAAGGAAGGTTTCATTTCTTTCTGAGACAGGAGTCTAAAGAATATCAGGTAGGGGTGTGTGTGTATGTGTGTGTGTGTGTGTGTGTGGTGTGTCTAACACACTAGAGAAAGAAAGCTATGTCAAGCTGAGACCTTGGTCTCAGCTCATGGTCACTGGTCAATCTAGTTTAAAGTACAGAGAAAGGTGTTTTGTGTGACTGGACAGTTTTGTTTTAATTCTCTGTGGACTAATATAGGCCCCTGCCCACAACACACACACACATTCGTGTCTGTGCACACACACCTATCCACCTCTGCACACACACATACACATCCCCGGAAAACCTGTGTATCCTTTTTATTTACAAATAAAATTGGACACCAAGGAACTCATTATCAAATGGGGCTTTTATGTTTACATTTTAAAATCAAAGATGTGAGTTCCTTAATTTTATGGAAAAGCGAAGTAATTATAAAGTTTTATAAATGTATTAGAGAAGGTATGTGCAATGGTTGGAGATGTTTTTTTCCCCCCAGAATTCATAGGTTGAAAGTCTAACTCCCAAGGTGATGGCATTAGGAGGTGGGGCCTTTGGGAGGTGATCAGGTCATGAAGGTGGGGCCCCCATGAAGGGGATTAGTACCCTTATAAAGAAGCCCCAGAGACCCCGCCTTGCCCTCTTTCTTCCATGCAGGAATACAACAAGAAGTCAACCGTCTGCAGCCTGTAAGAGGGCCTCTCACCAGAACTTAGCCATGCTGGAACCCTAATCCCAGACTTCCAGGCTTCAAAGTGATGGGAATTAAATTTCTGTTGTTTATAAGCCACCTCGTCTACAGTACTTTGTTATAGCAACTCAAATGGAGTAGGACTGTATGCAAACAAAACAACCCATTTTTGATATTTGGGAAAATCTAAGATCTTTAATAGTAGTTGGAAATTTTCAGCAAATCCTAATATTGGGTGCGTATCAGTATATGTGTGTATCCACAATATACAGTGTCATACACACACCCATATAAGCACCATCTGCATTATATAATAGGCACACCTGTATCCTCAACGTTGGTGTACAGATGCATTCATATTACCCATACAGTATGTTCTGAAGATAGTCAATAAACTCAGACCCAAGACAGTCCTCCCATCTTTTAATTCTACATAGAAATCAGGACGCACCTGATAAACAGCAGAAAATGTAAGAGAGGCCAGGTGCGGTGGCTCTTGCCTGCAATCCCAATTTTGACACACTGAGGCAGGAGGATCGCTTGAGCTCAGAAGTTCAAGACCAGCCTGGGCAACCTAGCAAGACCTGGTCTCTACTGAAAATCAAACAAATTTAGCTGGGCAAGGTAGCATGTGTCTGTAGTCCCAGCTACTTGGGAGGCTGAGGCAGGAGGATTACCTGAGCCCGGGAGATCAAGGCTGAGTGAGCTATGATCATGCCATTACACTCCAGCCTGGGTGAAAGAACCTTTGGGTGAGCAGAGCAGAAGTCAAGCATTTCTGGGTCCCTGGCTCCGATGCTGTCTTACGGGCACCACTTGTTCCTAACAGGAAGCTCTCTTTGTACACAAGTTATAATTACCCATCAAACCTGCGGCTCTGTGACCTTTAGCAAAATCACTGGGTGTTGTTTTCAGAAATAAATTAGATACAGAAATGGAGAAAATGCACAGAGTAACTCCAGACATTTTTGCCAACATCACATCCCTGATTCTGGCTTAGCTGCGGTGATCCCTTGGCGTGTTTCCTGATCTAGGGTCCAAGACTTTCTTTCTCTGGGCACAGAGACCGGAAGAGAGTCCTTCCAGGCCAACAGGCTCTCAGCTGCGTTGCTCTCTGCTCAGCAAGCTGTCCTTTTTACATTTCGACCATGGTACAACCACCCCTCGTTCCCAGACCAACTGCAAATAATGAATGATTCATACCCAGTTCTCTGCCACAACATTTAGTCATAATTCACAGAGTAATTGATCCTGTTTCTCAGTCTGTCAATAACTTGGCCAGGTATAAATACATATGAGAAGGGCTTTTGTTTTGTAAACTGTGGTTATCCTAACTAATGAGGACATTGACTATTTAATTGACTGTGCTCTCAGGGAATAGTGAAGACGTATTCTGTCTGTACACAAACCAAGGTCTTGCTATGGCAGTATAAACGATGGATAAAGTAGGCAAAATGATTGTCAAGCCAACTGAAAAGCTTTAAAGAACAAAAAAACAGTCACCAACTGTTCTATTTGTGAGGAAACCAGACATTGCCCTCCTGGGAAGAAAAGTAATTAATTTCTCAAATTACTACCATCCTGAAAGCATTTTTTTTTTCTTTGAGATAGAGTCTCGCTCTGTCTCCCAGGCTGGAATGCAATGGTGCAATCTCGGCTCACTGCAACCTCAACCACCTGGGTTAAAGCAATTCTCCTACCTCAGCCTCCTG
Organism: Homo sapiens; assembly: GCF_000001405.40. Taxonomy (NCBI): domain Eukaryota; kingdom Metazoa; phylum Chordata; class Mammalia; order Primates; family Hominidae; genus Homo; species Homo sapiens. Next base: position 231,795,780 of record NC_000001.11, on the reverse strand, counting down.
AGTAGCTGGGATTACAGGCACCCTCCACCACACCCAGCTAATTTTTGTATTTTCAGGAGAGACGGGGTTTCACAATGTTGGTCAGGCTGGTCTCAAACTTCTGACCTCAGGTGATCCACCCACCTCGGCCTCCCAAAGTGCTGGGATTACAGGCGTGAGCCACCGCACCAAGCCCCGAATGCATCTTTAAGCAAAGGCTTTCAATATGCATAGTGGCAGTCCTTTTTCAGTCCCTAAATTGACAGCTCCTTTTGTAGCAAAGGCCAAACCAGTCCATTTCTGGGGTGTCCACAAGTCAAGACCTCCACTATGACAGAAGCACTCTCTCCTGGCTCTTTTAACTCATCATTGGGCCTGCAAAATGGCTTGACAAAGTCTACATCTTTTTTTGCAGAAGCCAGGTATCCTAAGATCTAGATGTAAAATCAAGTCAAACGAAAACTTCATAGGCTTCTTTGGAAAATGGGAATATAAAGGTACTTACCTTAGTAGTGATTTCTTTAAGTGACAAGTTGAGGGATTTTATTCTTTCCTGGAGGCTGGAAGAATTAAAAAGAGGAGATTGGTCTTCTTGGTAACCACAATTCAATACCACTACAGTTAGGAACACTGCAAAAAGTGAACCTTCCACTGGTCTGATGGACGAAGAAGTGCAGGAGGAAAGATGATGCCAAATTGGCTCCATTTGACTACGGAATAAATATGGTGCTAGGAAACAGACCTTTCCTCCCTTATTATGCCTTACTAAAGCTAGTATTACAATTTTATCATGCCCAGAGTGTACATCTACTGATAACGGGAAGAACAGCCAAGGTGTGCTCCTGGCAGCAAAGGATTAAAATCTGCATTCCTATAACAACCTTCCCAGAAGGAAGGTCTACACTGAGTAGTGTCTCACCAGCAGGGAATCAAATAGTATCTATTTGGGTAGACAATGCAATTCAGCAAATATGTACCCAGAGCCCTCTGCATTCGGCATTGACATAGAGCATAAAGGAGAGACACATATTTAAAGTATGTCTGAGATAGCACCCCCTTAGCCTTCTCCTGCTTCTCTTTTCTCCATAGCACTTTTCATCTTGACATATTTATTTATTCATGTAATTTCTCTCTCTCCCACTGGAACTTAAGTTCCATGAAGGCAGCGACTGTCTGTTGTGTCCACTCCTGCATCCCCAGTGCTTAAAGAATTCCTGGAGCTTGTTAGTAAGCCCTCAGTCAATACCTGTAGAATGAATGAATCAATGCAATTAAGAGTCAGATCTTATTCTGAAGGTTGTTACCTAGTAGAGAAGAAACACAGGCATGCAATTCGCTATAATATAAAGCAAGAGGAAAAAATTACTATAAGGGGAATAGAAAATCAATACTAGGAGAAAACTGCTACATAAAAGCTGTCACCAGGCAGAATATTGTCTGCCTTGAGCAATGGAGAAAATAACTTGTGCAGCAATTTAGAACTAGGAGATTGGTGGGAAAGCTTACCAGAAGAGGTGAAAAGTGAACTGGGCCTCAAAGGGAAAAAAAAAAAGAGAATGAAATTCTAGCAAGAAGATAAATCTAACTGGACCAAATGGTTCTCACAGGTGAGTTGTGAAAGATAAACAGGGAAATGACTATTTCTGGTAGGAAAAGAGAGAGAAGGATGGGGTGGGGCCTATCTGTATCTATAATGTTTGCTTATTTAGTTAGTTAGGGGCCGGGCGTGGTGGCTCACGCCTGTAATTCCAGCACTTTGGGAGGCCTTGGGGGGTGGATCACCTGAAGTCAGGAGTTCGCGAGCAGCGTGGCCAACATGGTGAAACCCTGACTCCATCTCCAAAAAATAAAATAAAATAAATTTATTTAGTCAGGGAAAGAAAATCAAAGTAAATATGGGGTAAATTCTACTATTTGTTTAATCCTAGTAGTGGATAAATGAGTGTTGTATTTTTAAATATGTTTGAAATATTTACAATTAAAATATTTTTAAAGAAATATCAAGGGCAAGCTCTAGTCAGTATTAAATGCCAGACTAAGGAGTTTTGAGTTTTATCCCTCAAGCAATGAGAAATCATTCCGTTTTCTAGCAAGAGAGCAATATGAAAGAAGTGTTTTTGTTTTTTAGAAAAATAATTGGGCTGCACTATGAGAGATGATTTGGAGGAAGAAAGTCTGAATGTGACAAAACCAGACAGGCCTCTTCAGCAGTGTAAGCCCGTCATGGGGTCCATGGGCCCCGCAGAGTGATAGAGGTCAGAAAGGGGAGGGAAGAACAGGACTGGATTACGTGGATGCTCACAGCAGTGAGAACATCCATTCTAGAGTTTTCCACTCTTTCATGCATTCATGAACTCACTCATTCTTCAAATATCTATCTACTGGGCACCCAGCAAGCTAGGAACTTAGAGCATGAAGACATGGTTCCTGCCCTCAACCACTTACTGCTGCTAGAAATGCCAGAAAATGTAATAGATGCTAGAAGAGGAGTGATTACTTGATTAAATGATGACCTGCAAAAGGAAAGGTCAAGGTTTCTGGGGTATGTGTTGGGAGGGGAAGGGAAAGTGTGCAGGGTGTCAGGAAATCTCATACCAGAGGTTGCCAAGTATCGGAGCTAAGCTGCCAATTTGCTGATTTTTGTTTGTTTGTTCTTCAACTGTAAGAACTATATTTTGATGTTATCACATCCACCAATTTGTCACTTCTGAGTATAAGCAAACTCGTTTCAATTGTAAATACCTGGGAACTGGTGCAGGTCCGTACTAATCAGTCATTACCACTTTAGACCTACTTTCAACAGAGGAGGGTTTTCCAGTCCAGCTGAGATCAGCCCAAATGGAAGAAGTGAGGTTTGACAGAGGTGGGGCATGTGACACCAGACTCTTCAGAATTCAGGAGCTGCCATCTGACAAAAATTCGTGTACTCAGTGGGAACAGTGGAAAACAATGTTTGGAATCCTGCCTGGAGAATGCTAGACTCTGGCTGGCCAGGGATTGGATCTTTTGAGAGAACATAAGTCAGAGTGTCACACAGACATGGAGATTGGGGCAGATGAAACCACTTAGGGTGGTGAGAAGGACAGAGGGCATCCAACATGGACCCGTACTGGTTCTTCCTCTGATTCTAACAGCAGCACCAGCTTTGGGTGGCTAATGCCTGCTGCCCAAACTGAAAACCTTCCTTGGGCAGAAATGCACTTTCCCTTGCTGGGCTCGTTAGAGTCCATTCAACAAATACATTTTTAATAAATGGTTCAACACATCATTGAACCTATATGAGCATTTAATAGTATATTATAAGTAGGTGTTCCCAATCACACACAAAGACTAGCCCATGCATTAACAATTCAGATAGGTAGTAGATCCTCTTACTGATACTGAAATTTTAGCTGACCAAAACAGCAGTGCCTTTAGCTAATGCCCAACATATCACAAAAAAGGAGGTCAAGCACCATCTTTCCAGGGGTTGACACAGTTCACTTGTCTGGGCTGAGATCTGGCCCTATCCCAGAAAGAAAATCAGTCTCCTCTCAGATATCCATGTTAGAGGAAGGGGGCAGTGATGCAGATAATTAAATGCATTGTTTTATATTTAATTTGATTTATAATTAATTTATGCTATATTCCTTTTTGCAACAGATTTGCCTTCCCAATTACGTTTTGCTCAGGCTACTATTAACATTAGTTGTATCCCTGGGGTATATACAGAATAAAAGCAATTGTTGGGGGAGCAGACGATATGAGGAATCTATATACTATGCTAGTGGGTTTCAGGCTATTTATAGTAGAAGAATTCTCTCAAACCAAAGTTTACACAGCACTATAAAACATAATAAAGATAACAGGGAATCTGCTTTTATTGAAGTGGGGTGTCTGGCCTAGGGTACAAAGATGTCACATTAGTCCCCCAAACATACACACATGTTGCTGCTGCCATCACACTGTGGTCCCCAAACCGTAATTCCAGGAGCAGGACTACAAACCAAAAACCAGAAAATAAGACCAGTTCAATGCTGACAAGCAGGAGTTCCGTGTACTTTAATGAGTGAAACCAATCCCCACTTTTTAAAAAACTTGCATATTATTCATAACAAACAAGAATTATCCTCTCAGATGAAATTATGCCTTACCCTAGAAACACACAATTTGTCCAAACAAATTAGCGAACACATTTTCAGAAACACACCAGACCTAATTTACCCAAATGAGTATCTTCATTCAAAGTGGCTGCCCTGGAAATAATAGAATCCAACATTTATTGAACACTTACTATGTACCAGACACTCTCCCAAATTCTCTATGTAGATGAGCATTTTAAATTCTTATTATAACTCTATGAAGTAGAAACTCTAATTATCTACATTGTAAGACAAGAAAATTTCATCAAAGAGACTAAGAGAGGTTTAAGTAACTTTCCCAGGGGTAACCAGCTGGTAATTATGGGAGATTAAACAGTAACCCAGGCAGTCTAACTATCTGCTCTCCTAACTGTTGAACAATACTAACTACCGCTCCCAGAAGCTGTGTACCTATTTAAAATGAACTGTCATCCAGACAAATTTTTGGAATTCTATTTCAGAATTTTGTTCAATGTACAATATAATCAATATCATGATTTGTAAATACACATTATTCTTTACTCACAAACTGGTGTTCCAATCATATGACCAAATTTCACCCTCAACAAATGAAACCTTACAAAAATTGAGACTACTGACATGAATGTGCTGCACAGAACGCACATCAGCAGCAGATGAGCCTGGGGGGTGGCTGTGGCAAAAGAAAATTAAATGCAAAGGTGCCTGTCACCGGTTGAGTTGTGTCCCCCAAAATTCACAGGTTGGAGTCCGAATCCCCAGTACCTAAGAATGTGACGATGTTTGGAGATAGGGCTTTTCAATAGGTAATAAATTTAAAATAAAGTCATTAGGGTGAACCCCAATCCAATATGACTGGTATCATTATAAGGAGAGATGTGGAAGGCCAGGCGCGGTGGCTCACGCCTGTAATCCCAGCACTTTGGGAGGCCGAGGTGGGCAGATCACAAGGTCAGGAGATGGAGACCATCCTGGCTAACACGGTGAAACCCCGTCTCTACTAAAAATACAAAAAATTAGCCGAGCGTGGTGGCAGGCGCCTGTAGTCCCAGCTACTTGGGAGGCTGAGGCAGGAGAATGGCGTGAACCCGGGAGGCAGAGCTTGCAGTGAGCCGATATCATGCCACTGCACTCCAGCCTGGGCGACAGAGGGAGACTGTATCTTGAAAAAAAAAAGAAAAGAAAAGAAAAGAAGAGATGCGGAGACAGACACATGTGGAGGGAAGATCATCTGAAGACAAAAGAGAAGACAGCTGTCTGCAAGCCAAGGAGAGGAGCCTCAGAAGAAACCAACCCTGCTGACACCTTGATCTTAGACATTCAGCCTTCAGAATTGTGAGAAAATAAATTTCTGTTGTCTAAGCCACCCTGTCCATGGTACTTTATTACGACAGCCCTAGCAGACTCATGCATGTGGAATTTTCCATTTCTTGTGGTATGATGAGTTATAGGTATTATTAGGGCACCGCACACTGGTGCTTCACGATCCAGGTAAAAAGAGTTGCTACTCCATGTAGCA